>NC_000010.11:81052186-81203701 GCF_000001405.40 Homo sapiens | reverse complement strand
CTTTTAACTACATCTAATAAGTTTTAAATATCAGTTCTACTACTTTAAAAAATTTTTATTATTTCTTCTTAAATCTTTTTTAACTAACATATTTATCTTTGTTCATATATATACACATTTGTATTCCTTTTGCTCATATATATTTATAGCTCATATTTATATATATGTAGTAGTTTTTTGTTTGTTTGTTTGTTTTTGAGACTGAGCCTCACTCTGTCTCCCAGGCTGGAGTGCAGTGGCAAAAATCTCAGCTCACTGCAACCTCCACTGCCCAGGTTCAAGCAATTTTCCTGCCTCAGCCTCCTAAGTAGCTGGGACTACAGGCACACACCACCATGCCTGGCTAATTTTTGTATTCTTAGTAGAGACGGGGTTTAACCATGTTGGCCAGGCTGGTCTCGAACCCCTGACCTCAGGTGACCTGCCCACCTCGGCCTCCCAAAGTGCTGGGATTACAGGCATGAGCCACCATGCCTGGCCTATATGTACTAGTGTTATACTTTGTCTCTTACATTTGAAGTATTTGATGTCTAATTTGATTGCCTGTTGTCTGTCAAGACTTACTTATTGACATCTCATTATTTGTGTGACTTATGAGTTTTGACTATAGGTTCAAAATCTTTGGAAATGTATTTGTGCAAATTCTTCATAACTTGGATTGACTCTGGGCTCAGGGAAGATTTTTATTTGCATCTTGCAGATACTTAAAGACACTATAAACAAACATTTTTTCAAACTTAATATTTGAACTAAGGCATTTGGACTCCCCAGGCAATATTAGAGTGCAAACTCATATGAGGGTCATTTATGATTATAAATTCTTGCAAGAGATTTATGGGAGATTTTTTCCTTTTTTTCTTCTACCTAGAACCAAATTTGCAGCCAAGCAATTTTTCTTAACTTTTCCTGGAAAGTAAATTTACAGCCAATTCAACATTCTACAGGCCTACTTTTGTGATGAGTATTTACCGTTAGATATGTCAGCTTGGTTGGCTCCTGGTATCTTTCCCCAGTTCCCTATGCCCTGAGAAGCAATGGAAAGTAAAACTGAAGATTATTCAGATATGGAAAGTGACCTCATGGTTTAAATCAGTTTTAATAAAGCTTTTCTTTTTAAATTCAGTTGAAGGCAAGGCATGGGATGGTGTTTCAGCTATAACTCCGTAAAACCTATGGTTCAAGTTTTATTTCCTTGTTGACCAGCCCAAGCTCAGCTGCTGGCTTTAAGCAATGAGGCTGGCTTACATGGAAAGACTTTGGTGCTGGTTATCCATTAGGTGCTTCCATCCCTTGGTGCTTGGAACCTGCATCCAGCAAGACCCCTACATTCTGTGATGTTTCAAAGAATGATTTTTTGCTTATTTTCTCTTCATGACCTATTGTTTCATTTTTTTGCTTATTGAGGCCACACTCCTACACACATTTGTAATATATATACAATCATGCACCACATAGTGACATTTTGATCAACAATGGTCTGCATATAAGATATTGGTCCCATAAGATTATAATATTATATTTTTACTGTCCCTTTCTATGTTTGTTTAGATTCACAATTACTTACCATTGTGTTGCAATTACCTACAGTATTTTGTACAGTAATATGATGTGTAGGTTTGTAGCCTAGGAGCAATAGGCCATTCCATATAGCCTAGGTATATAGTAGGCAACACTAGTTCGGTTTGTGTAACTACACCTTATGTTGCAACAGTTAAATCTCCTAATGATGCATTTCTCAGAACAGAATTCTGTTATTAAGAGATGCATGACTCTGTGTATATCAATATATACTAAAATTTATCTATTTATAGTTCATAGCGATTTCTATTTGGTTAAAAAGTTACTTCATAATATAAATTTATAGAACCATGTTGATAAGAGGTCTCTGTTCTCAGTACCTACTATTTTCAAAATAAGATCATACAGAAACTCACACGTCAACTAAATCTTGATGATAAAACACCAAAACAGTCCAGTACATATTTGAAATAATATTTATGTAACTTAGTGGCCTGGCTAAGAGGCTAAAATTTGTGTACTAATTTTTTTTTAAAAATCTTGACTGGTAGAAGCTGGAATAAAAAACTTAAAAAAGAGAGAGAGAAGCCCAACAATCACAACAAATCCCTATATTAGCAGAGTGATTTCAAAATTATATTAGGTTATGTTTTTATCAGTTCGAAAAATAAAATTCTCATTTTAGTTGTTATAGGGCAACTCAAGGACAACGGTTAGGCTGAAAAATAATGCAAACATTCCTTGAACACGCAAGATAATTTGCCCTGTGGTCATTGAGAAATAAATTTAGGGGATATGTGTTGAGAAGAGATTTAAGTTCTACTCTAAAGGACTTGATTTAAAATAGAGTAATATGAAAAATAAGATATCAGTATCAGGTTGACATACTGTAAGTAATGCAACTATTTAAGAAAGAATATAATTTACTAATTTGTTATTCTGCAATAAACCAAATCAGAAATAGTTCTTACGTCCTCTCTACTTAGGAATCATCCTCCTCCATGCCTATTTTCTACCTCAAATTACCAAATACATATTTTGAAAACATATGTCATAAATATATTTATTTGCTCTCCAAAAAAGAATGAAGGAGAATGGGAAACATGATGTGAAACAAAGGTCATGATGCAAGCAAATATGCTTGGCTGAGTTACTCGGGAGGATTACGAAAGTTTCTCAGTGGACATAGAGTTCAATATTCTCTACCTTTGATGAAACACTGGCCTTCATGTTAACTTTGATAAAAACACTTGTCTTTATTCTGACTGCATGAACAACATGTACCCCACTGATTCCAATCAATGGTTTGCAGGTGCTGAAAATATGCATGAGGGAAAATAAAAGCCTCACTGAATAATTTATTGCTTGCTTCTTTCAGATTCCTTAAATTATCAATCCGTAATTCTGACATCAAGATTAATAGAAAAATATGAAAAATTATTCCCCAGTATAAAATGGCTTTTTAATAAAGAGTTCATCATTATAATTGAAGACAGTAACTCATAAAAAACAAGTTGGAAAAAATACTGAGTTGCTAATTTGTCAAAATATAATCAGCCTTATTACTATATATAGTAGATATATGTATATGTGTAAAACTTATATGAAGTTATCTCCTAAATAATTTATTAGTGATGAGATGTCAAGAGTGGGCAGCAATTGAGGGATAAATAGCTAGATGACCCAGGAATATTATTTTTTAGAAGATCAATTTAAATCTTGACTTGCTATAAAAGCCATATGTTATATATTGGCTTAAAATGATAAAAAAAAATTCAAATTCATATATGCATTTTAAGAAAGAGAGCATTCATTTCATCCAAATTAAAATCTTGTTAATGTTCCTTGGTATTTTAATTCCTCTTCCATTCTGAGGCAGTTTTTTTTCCTTGGTTTCCCAATGTATGTTTGTATTGCTGAACAATATACTGTTTACTCTGCCTCTGAACTGAGCTTTCTGCCCCAACACTATGTTCTTGAGATTTGTGTACAAAACAACAGTTATTTCTTTCACTCCTTATTGTTCCATTTTATGAATATAATATAATTTAATCACCTTCTTTTCACTAAGTATTTCCTTGCTTCTAAATGGGAGCTATTAGACAGATCTGCTATTAACATGAATATACATGCTCCTATTGAAAATAAGAAAGTTCCTCTGATGTGTAAACCTTGTTAAGAAAATATTGGGTCATAGGATACTGACACCTTAATATTTACTAGCTAATGACAATGGTTATCTAACAGTTATACAAACCCTCTAACTAATATACAATTTTTACCGTTTTATTTTTAAAAATGTATCTTGTACTTTATTTTTCAATTTTTTTTCTTTTTTTGAGACAGTCTTGCTCTGTCACCCAGGCTGGAGTGCAATGGTGCAATCGTGGCTCACTGCAACCTCTGCCTCCCGGGTTCAAGCCATTCTCGTGCCTCAGCCTCCCGAAGAGCTGGGATTACAGGCACACACCACCATGCCCGGCTAATTTTTTGTATTTTTGGTAGAGACAGGGCTTCACCATGTTGCCCAGGCTGGTCTCGAACTCCTGAACTCAGGCAATATACCCGTCTCAGCCTCCCAAAGTGCTAGGATTACAGGCATGAGCCACCGCGCCCGGCTCAAATTTTTTAATTAAACTATGCATATACAATTTAAAGTGTGATGTAGACAAGTGCCAGTGTACCCCAACCTAAGTCAAGATACAAAACACTGCAAAAAACAAGACAATTCTTCCTTGGGTCTTCTTCCAATCACTCCATTTTTCCTACCTCCTCCCAAAATATTACTAGTATCTTGTCTTTTATAGTAATGATTCCTTTGCTTTTCCTTACAGTTTTATCATTTAAAGACTCATTAATAATTACTCTTGTTTTGTTTAGTTAGAATATTGATTTTAAATTTTAAATAACAGGTGTCATATAATTTGTGTGATGTTGTTGCCAGCTATTCTTGCTTAAATCATATGTAAGATAGGTTATGCTATTAATTAGCTATAGTTCAGTTTCATTGCTGAATAATACATACTGTGTGTATGGGTGTAGTACAGTGTGCTTATCCATTCTACTATTTCATTCATTTAGATTATTTTCACTTTTTTACTATTATGAATAGTGCTTCTATAAGCGTTCATACGTGTGTCTTCATAGACACATTTCTGTTGGGTATATTCCTGAAATTAGAAGTGCTGGTCATAGAAGTGCAAATATACATTCAGCATAAGATAATTTTCCAAATATTTTCTTCAAAGTGGTTTTACCAATTTATATTCCTACCAACGGTGAACTGGTATGTGCTCCACTTATTCACCAATACTTGGCTCAGTCAGCCGTTGTAATTGTAGTCATGCTTATATGTGACTAATGATATCTAATGTGATTTTAATTTGCCATTTCCTTACACTACTTAGTTTTATCTGATTTATTAGCTATAAATATCTTCCTATATAAATTAGATTTTTAAAACTCCATCCCATTTGTCATTTTTGTATTAATTTGTGTTTTTTTAATATTTTTTATTTATGTCTAGAAAATACCTTTTTCTTCACTATCTTGTTTTCTTTCCACCCTTCTAATGAAATCTTTTGAAGTTCTTAATTTTATCCTAGTGTATTAGTCTTTTCTCACACTGCTATAAAGAACTGCCCGAGACTGGATGCTGCATAAAGAAAAGAGATTTAATTGACTCACAGCTCCATATGACTGGAGGTGGGGGGGTCAGGAAACTTACAATCATGGTGGAAGGGGAAGCAGACACATCTTACATGGCAGCAGGAGAGACAGAGCACATGGAGGAGAAACTGCCAAACACTCATAAAACCCACCAGATCTCATGAGAACTCACTCACTATCACAAGAACAGTATGGAGGAAACTGCCCCCATGATCCAATCATCCCCCACCAGGTTCCTCTCTCGACGCATGGGGGTTATGGGGATTACAATTCAAGATGAGATTTGGGTGGAGACACACAGCCAAACCATATCACCTACTCTGATTTATCAGTCTTTATAGTAGCCATGATTTATTTCCTTTTTAATACATGTTTTAACTATAGGAGTCATAAACATAGTCTCCTATGTTCTCTTCTAGAACTATTATATTTGCTTTGAAATTTACATCTACACTCCATTTGGGATAAATTTTTTTGTTCAATGTAAGGTAAAAGTCACATGTTAATTTTTGGATATGAATATTCATTGCCCCAGCACATTATTTATTAAAGTGTTATCATTTTTCCACTTTCTATAGTACCCTAATTGTAATAAAGAATCCCTATATGTAGACTCTTTGTTATTGACACCCTATTCTTTCCATTAAAAAAGAGAATTTGGGCCAGGCGTGGTGGCTCATGCCTGTAATCCCAGCACTTTGGGAGGCCGAGGTGGGTGGATCACGAGGTCAGGAGATCGAGACCATCCTGGCTAACACGGCAAAACCCTGTCTCTACTAAAAATACAAAAAAAATTAGCCGTGCGTGGTGGCGGGCGCCTGTAGTCCCAGCTGCTAGGGAGGCTGAGGCAGGAGAATGGCGTGAACCCGAGAGGCGGAGCTTGCAGTGAGCCGAGATCGCGCCACTGCACTCCAGCCTGGGTGACAGAGCAAGACTACGTCTCAAAAAAAAAAAAAAAAAGAATTTGAAGAGATTTATTCTGAGCCAAATGTGAAACCATGACCCATGACACAGCCTAACGAGATCCTGAGAACATGTACCCAAGGTGGTTGGGTTACAGCTTGATTTTGTACATTTTAGGCAGGCAGAAGTTAAAGGCAAAGACCTAAATCAATACATGTAAGGTTTACATCGATTCAGCCCAGAAAGGCAGGGCATTGTTGAGCATTAATTTTTACCTAAAGAGTTGAAAAAACAAATGCTTGGGGTTATGATAAGGGAGGGCGTGAAAGCCAAGGTTCTTGTTACACAGATGAAGCCTCCAGGTAGCAGGCTTCAGAGGGAATAGATAGCAAATGTCTCTTATCAGACACTGAAAGGTGTCATATTCTTAGTTAAATCTCTCCTGGATCAGGAAAAAACCTGGAAAGAAAAGAGGATTCTCTACAGAATGTAATTTTTTTTTTACAAGAGACAGCTTTGCAGGGCCATTTCAAAATATGTCAAAGAAATGTATTTGGGGGTAAAACACTTTGATTTCCTTTAGGGTCTCTTACCTGTCATGTGATTTATACCAGAGTCATGTTGGAGTTGGCATCTTATTGCTACAAAGAGTCTGTTCTGTTAGTCTTAGGATCTCTATTTTAATGTTAATGCTGGTCAGTTGTGTCTAAACTCCAAAAGACAGAGGATACAGTGAAGCATATCTAACCCCCTCTTCCTGTCATGGCCTAAGCTAGTTTGTTTTGTGGGTTTGTGTGTGTGTGTGTGTGTGTGTGTGTGTGTGTGTGTGTGTGTGTGTGTATGCGTATGTGTTTTAGGGTTTCTTTGGAATCCCCTTGGTCAACGGGCGTAGATTCAATCAGATGGGGGATTTAGAATCTTATTTTTGGTTTACATTCTGCTCGTTCTGGCCAAGATTTGCCAGAATAGCAATATCTAAACTTGTATTTTGTCCCATAGCATTCCCAGGATGGTATGGCTGCCTGCCCCAGGTCCACCCTGTCCCTCAGGATGGGACCCCTGTATCATGGACTTAGAGCCAAAAGACTTATAGCCAATTTAAATATTCTAGGCCAGATGGAAATGGACATGGACAGGCATTCATCAACCCTTAAACTTCTTTAATACAAAAGCCAAAAGCCAAAGGCCAAAGACAAGGTTACAGAATTGACTTATCTTAACTTCTATGCCTGGAGCTACTATAATCTTGGTTTTAGTTACAGAGTTGTAGCAATTAGCTATACAAAACATAAACATTTTGTTAAAACCTTTTATGGAAAGGAATTTAGAGACTTTTGTTTTGTTATAATCCTTTTTGCAGTCTTTTTAGTAATTTGTCCTAAGGTGGCTGATTTAAAAAAAAAAAAAAAAGGTTATACACATATCTGCATAAATCTCACAACGGGGAGCTCTATACCCAGGAGGCTTTGTTACCAGTATCTTGATATCCTCTCATTAATTTTCTTTTAATTCTACATGAAGCAGGAAATTCTTTAAGGTTGGGGTGGTTGAAAAGGGATCACATAAAGGCCCAAGAGCCAAAGTTCCTTATTTTGCCAGCTATTTAGGCATTTGTGTTCCCATCATTGATTTGGAGGATTTAAACTAATTCTATCTCTCAAAATCAGCCCTTTCAGTCTCACATGCCCACGTCTTCCGTGATAGCCCCTGGGCCTAGAGGAAAGGTGCTTGTATAGTTTTCCAGTGAGGCATCAGCAATGAAAACAGATCAGACCCTGTGGGATTTTAAATAGTTTTTAAATTTGGAGATATCAGATAGAAAAAGATAATCTTCGTTGTTTCACTCAATTTTGTAAGCTACATATAGAATTAACATCATTGTAAACAGCAAGGACATAAAGCCCTGCCTAACTCTATGACAAGTAAAGGAAACTCACAGGTAGTTAAACATTTAAATTAAAACATTTAAACATTTAATATAATTATTTAAATTATCTAGTATTAAGGCATAAAATAAATTATATTAGAAAGAAGAAAAATTATTAAATAAGTATTTATGTCTTTGTATACAGGCCTGGTTCAGTATCCTATGAAAGCAGTTTATTTTGACTGTTATGTTTTCCCAGGTATGCAGGCGAGGCTTTGGTTAACTTGAGTTTGGTGCCAGGTATTAGCATTGATGTTTAAGATTCAGTGGGAGTCAGTGCCCCCTTTTAGATGACATTAGTGTACCCAGGAGTCAAAACCATGCCACTTAACAGCACAATGATTACTTAACAATATTTGATAAAGACCTTATTTAATGGAGCTGGAGGAAGTCTCTCAATTGATGAGGTGGTGCTACTGGGGTTTGTGACTTACTGGGAAACTCCAAGAAAGATCTATACACCCAAAGGAACATATCATCATAATAAAAAGACTCATGCACTCGTATGTTTATCTCAGCACTATTCATAATAACAAAGACATGGAATAAACCTAGGTGCCCATCAATAATGGATTGGATAAAGAAAGTATGATACATATATACCATGGAATACTACATAGCCATAAAAAAGAACAAAATCATGTCCTTTGCAGCCATAAAAAAGAACAAAAACATAAACGCAGCTGGAGGCCATTATCCTAAGCAAATTAATGCAGCAACAGAAAACCAAATATCACATGTTCTCACTCATAAGTGAAAGCTAACCATTAGATACTCATGGACATAAAGATGGTGACAATAGACACTGGAGAATACTAGAACAGGAAGGAAGGGAGGCAAGGTTTGAAACACTATTAGGTACTATGCTCAGTACCCGGGTGATGAGATTATTTGTAATGAAAACCTCAGCATCACACAATATACCCATGTAACAAACCTGCACAGGTACCCCCTGAATCTAAAAACTGAAAAAAAAAAAAAAAAAAGAAAAGTAAATGAATAAATTACAATTAAAGTTTACTAAAGCACATTTATATAGATATTATTTTATTTGATCTACTTGAGAATCTGCTAAGACCAAACCCAGGATAACCAAAGGTTTTTTTGTTTTTTGTTTTTTTTTTTTGAGACAGAGTCTCGCTCTGTCTCCCAGGCTGGAGTGCAGTGACGCAATCTCGGCTCACTGCAAGCTCCGCCTCCCGGGTTCACACCATTCTCCTGCCTCAGCCTCCCGAGTAGCTGGGACTACAGGCACCCGCCACCTCTCCCAGCTAATTTTTTGTATTTTTACTAGAGACGGGGTTTCACCGTGTTAGCCAGGATGGTCTCGATCTCCTGACCTCCTGATCCACCCGCCTCAGCCTCCCAAAGTGCTGGGATTACAGGCGTGAGCCACCGCACCTGGCCCCAAAGCTTTATCTAGATTTTCCTTTCTTCTTCATGCTGAAGATGTTTGCTATATCAAGGTACCAAAAAGGGGAGCTTAGAAAAGACATTCAAATGGAATACTCAAATTCATAACACAAATTGATAGAGATTCAATAATTATTTTCTAATGTAAGTCCAATAGCTTAGTGGTGTTGAATTAGAAGAAAAGTTGCCTTCTGTTTTTGTGTCCTGCCATGAAGGTGACATGCGAGCACCAACAAGCTCCATCCTCCACATCGATGCTCTTCTGGGATGGTAAGAGCCACATGGACATGACTTTGTTTCTACAAAAGAGTTCAAAATATCAATTTAAATAAATGCTTTTATTGAAAGGAGGAAGTATATTCCTTGTATACAATTTCAGCTAGGAAATTTAAAAGAATCAGTGCTGTTAAACATGCTAATTCTCATTGTATTAAATGCCCACATAATTTAAAGTGGACATCTCAATAATAGATAAATAAATAAAGCCAAGAATATAAAGAAAAAAATAAAATTATTTCCCTGTTAACCACTTTTATAGCCTGTGTCTATCAGGTGTTTACCTAAGCAAGAACCTTATCGTTAAACAGGTTTTTTTTTTAATTATCTCTTTCTATAACTCAAGATTTAGTTCTCATTAAACAAACAATATTAAATATTTTATTTATCAAAAATTGCACAAACATAATTCTGTTTTGAGCTGGGTTTATAGCTTTATAACCTTCATGCCAAATTTGACACTTTATAATATCTAGCACACATAAATATAAAACCACTTGAGCAATAAATCTAAACAAACATAAATACTGATAATTCCGAAGATATTTCTAATTTTATTTTACCAATAATCTTAAAGCCAGATTCTTTATTAAAGGTTTATTTAAGTCACATGAATTTGAAAAGCATTTGGGCTTATTTACTTAATTTATGAATCCTCCTTTTATTTATTTGTTTTTCGAGACGGAGTCTCATGCTGTCCCCAAGGCTGTAGTGCAATGGCGTGATCTCAGTTCACTGCAGCCTCTGCCTCCTGGGTTCAAGCGATTCTCCTGCCTCAGCCTCCTGAGTAGCTGGGATTACAGGTGTGCACCACCACATCTGGCTAATTTTTGTATTTTTAGTAGAGACGGGGTTTCGCCATGTTGGCCAGGCTGGTCTCAAACCCTCACCTCAGGTGATCCGTTTGCCTTGGCCTCCCAAAGTGCTGGGATTACAGGCGTGAGTCACTGTGCCCGGCCGAGTCCTCCTTTATTTTAATCCAATTTACTTCCTTGTAGCTACAACACATAATAAAATATAGGTACACACACATAAACACATATAAACACACATTGACACATATACAAACAAAGATTCTACAGCTTTTACTTCAGAACTCTATCCTACGAGATATCTATACAAACTCACTAGTTTAAAACAACAACAAAAACATAGTTGGATACAAATAGTGGTTTTTCTCTCAACACCAGTAGAAAAGTAACAGCAGATTTAAAGCAGGCAGAAAACAAAATAGAGAAATAGAGACGTTAGGAACTCCATAATTGCAGGTTGACTTTTGATCTCTGAATTTTTCTTGATGTAATTTGCCAATCAGTTTAACTGTACACAAGAACAAACCGTAATATGTAACCAGTTGGAGTACTAGAAAACCTGGCATGCCCTGGAACTCTCCTGTTTACATGAACACTTGCAAGGAGAGATGCCAGCAAACCAAACAGGGGGCCTTTAAGAGAGTCGTTCTCCTCGTCTTTCCTCATTCATAGATGATTTGTTTCCCACTTCTTTCCTTAAGGGAGAAACTGAAATGTAGTCTGGGTTTCACTGTAGTGGCACTGAGAATGTCAGTCTCTGATTCATTTACACAAGTGACAGCTTGGTTTCTCAAGCAAATGTACAGACGAGCCAATTGAGATTTATTTTGGGAGAAAAAGGCAATGAAGAAGACTCTTTAAAATGTACCTCTGAACCAAAATTAGGATGCTAAGCAACAACTTGCTGGAAGAGAACCAGCTCAGAATAAACCAGAGGACCATCAACTAAGCGAAAAGTCCAGAGCTCAGGAGGAGTTACTAGTTTCATCCAAGGAGATGATTGAAGTTGGGGAGCTTTCAATGGGCCCAGGTCAGTACCTCAGTCCTGATTTAGGGTGACTTTTTAGGAGGTCCTGAGTTTTCTCTGAGGCCAGGCATTGGGCACCAATCAATATTGACCAAAAAAAGCCAAACTCTGTAAAATATTTGAAGACATTTATTCTGAACCAAACGTGAGGACCATGACACATGACACAGACTCAGGAAGTCCCGAATATTTGTGCCCTCATTTTTATAGCTATCTGTCTTTCCTCCAATAACTCTTGATAACCTCCCACATTGGTTCATTTGTTCCCTGACAATTTTATATACATTTTAGAAACAGCTAACAAAGATACACACCAAAAAAATAATGAATTTGAATTAGTGTTTTATTAAAGATATAAATCCATTTTGAAATAATTGACCCATTTAAAATATTAGTCATTACAGTTATGAGCATTTTTAGTTTTCCATTTTATTTCCCTAAATAGTCCGGATGGATGATTTTCAATTAAACTGATTTATTCAAATAATTAGTTTTGATGTCAGTGATTTTTTTGCTGCATTTTTAAAATTTCGCCAATTTCTGATTTTATTACATTATTTCCTTTCTTCTACTTATTTTGAGTTTAATTTGCTTTTTTGCTAATTTTTTAAGGTGGAAGCTTAGGTAATTTATTTCAGAAAGTTCTTCTTTTCTAATATAAGTGTCTAATGCTATGAATTTCCTTTTAAGCGCTGTTTTAGCTGCATTCCACAAATTTTGATATGTTGTGTTTTCATTACATTCAGTTCACAATGTTTTATAAATTCCCTTTTGACTTATTCATTGACCAATATGTTATTTATAAGTTTTTTATTTATATAATTTTAAATTATTTGGGAACTTTCCAGATATCTTTATTGGTTTTCAATTTAATTCTGTTATAATCAGAGAACATACTGTGTATGATTTCAATCTTTGAAAAGTTACTATGTGTCTAAGTACAGTCTATCTTGGTAAATGTTCTGTTTACAGTTAAAAGAAAATAAATTTTCTTTATTATAGTAGAATTTTCTGCAAATGGCAGTTAGGTCAAGTTGGTTGACAGTGTTGTATTATTTTAGATATTTTTACTGATTTTCTGTCTACTTGCTTTATCAGCTAATGAGAGACGGGTATTGAAATCTCCAAACAGAATTGTAAATTTTTCTATTTTTTATTTCACTTCTACTAGCTTTTATTTCATGAATTCTGAAGTTCTGTCCTCTTATACTGATCACTTTATGAAATGTATCTCTTCATTCCTGGTAATATGTTTTATAATGAAATTTTTTGATATACACAGAGCCATTCCGCCTTTATTTTTATTAGTGTTTTTTATTTGTGTTTCCATCTTTTGACTCATTTATGTCATTTTGTGTAAGAACTTTTTGTCTTTGTTGTTGGCAGCATATAGTAAAGACCTGCTTTTCTATTTGAGAATCTCTGCCTTTTAATTGATATGCTTAGGTCATTTACCTTGAATACTGTTAGTGGAATGGGGGGGTTACATGGTTAGTGATATGGATTTAAGTACCACAAATAAAATAGTTTTAACATTTCAACATTTTAAAAAATATTTTAAAAAATATAGCCTATACTAGTTCAAGGAAGTTCCCTGTTTTTAATTTTGATGAGTATTTTTGAAATGTTATATTTAAGTGCATGCTTCTTTCTATTAAGGTAGTAATATAGTCTTTATGAGCATGACTCGTTTCTTTTATATTATGTTCTTGTCTCAATTGGTGCATTAGAAAATACTCCTCAATTCTTCAAATTGTGTAAGTTAAGAAGTTTTCTTTTCAGTAATATATGGAATATATGTATATACAATATAGAATATTTTTATAATCTTTTGTTATCTTATAGAATAGTTTTTAAATTAAATTTAAATTTTGTTCCTCCTTGACAGTTCTTAAAACTTACTTAAATCGTCCAGTCCTGCTGCTTTCCTTCCCAACAGATTTTTCCTTGCTGGTAAAAAAAATTATTTCATCAATGCAAGAGATATATTCTGAATATCTATCTGAAACCTGACACCGTTCTAAATACAGTATACACACAAGCTGTAAAACAAGAAATATCTACTTTATGAAGTTTACATCCCAATGGAGATATGTAAATATGAAAATAGATAGATACATTAATTTACCCACTCTTATTGTGAATTTGCCAGTTTCTCCTTGTAGTTCTGATAATATTTACTTTATATGTTTTATCATATGTCATGATGTGCAAGTACGTTTGCAATTGTTTGCTTCTGAACCCAGTGACCTTTTTAACAATTTATAATAAACCCCTTTATTTAGATAATATTGTTGTTACCTTCTGATTAGCATATTTTTACATCCTTTTACTTTTAACCTTTCTTGCCTTTTTATTTTAAATGTTTCTTATAAATAACAAATAACTGCCTTATGGGTTTTCATCTTGCCTCATACTCTGCTTTTTAATGAGAGTATTTGATTCATTATCATTTGTGTTAGTAGTGGTCTTCTTTTAAACTTCCCATTTTGATTATTTCTCTAGGTTTTTTCTCCAGTTCCTCATGCTTTAAGAGGTCCTGAATAAAGTTCATGGTCATCAGGGCTGGTGAAAACCACCATTAATTCTTTGTTTAGTCTCAGATTTTCTTTTTTCATTTAGTTTTAGTTCCTGAACATTATTAATTTTATGCCAATGACTTATAGTTAAATGTTTTCTTTTTCCTTTTACTCAGCTTTTTTTTTTGGCAGATGCTTATCTGTTCCACAATACAGCTAGAAAAAGAATCCAAGAGCCCTTTCCACTTTTACTTAAAAATTATTTAAATAGCAATTAAAAACTTTTAAAGTATTTCATAAATATTAACTAATTTAATTTAGCTAGTTTAGTGTAGTTAATTTAGTTAAAAAATTTAACCTTCATAACAAAATTCTGCAGATACTAGTATTATGTCTTTTTGAGATGACAGAATTACTGTACGGAAAGACTAAAGAACTTGCTTTAAAGTCAGAGTTAGTAAAATATGAAACCAGCATTCAAACTCAGGAAGCATGCGCTTTTAAGTACTATGAAACTCAATGCCCCCTTTCTCATCCCCCCAATCCCTGCACAATCTTTTCTGGTGAAACACACATAGACACATACATAAGAATGATTATCTGTTCATTGTGCCATATGTTAAAAAAATGAAGTCAAATTATGCTGTAACTTACTAAGGAAAAGGAATTAAGAAATGCCCAAATTATGACTTGGCCAATCCATTTATTAAGAAACATCAAAATTTATTGTAACATTGACTGTAAAATAAATTAGAGAACACATGATAACCAGATAAAATATTTGTTTATATAGTCCTTCATCTAAACCTTGACACCTGTATTCATTCATACATGAAAAGAGGATTATTGTAGGTACAGGACTGTAGCAATGGAAAAACTTTCTTCAAAAAGTCAGCTTTCATGGAGAAAGAGAAATGGGATATGAAAGAACCTTAAGAGGTTAAAAAAAAGTGGAAAATATGTCACATTATAGTGACTTCATTCCCATCTTCCCATGTAGAAATCAACCACCCAACCTCCCATCCATTCCACTTCCTACATTGCTAAAATACTAGTGAATAAAATGATCTCTTTTTAAAATTAGTTTTGTATTACTCCATCATTCTCCTAACCAGTCTTTCTTTCTCTAGTCTTACTTCATCAATCTGTTTATTAATCCATATTTCAGACTTCATAAACTTTTTAAATAAAATATATTCAATTAAATCCCTTCATTGCACCTACATTTCCCATAAGAGAAAGTTCATATAAATGTTTGGGATGGCAAGACATAGCTTCCTGATCTTGTCCATGATCAGCTATTTCCATCTCCCACTGTTGTCCTTGTATGTGTGTGTTAATAAGTAATGATTGACTACCTATGTAAATAAACAATACTGCTACAATTCTCTAGTTTTGTTGTTAATGAGCCTTGTAATAGAGATAGTGATTAACTGATTTATACGAGCACTATGTAGAATTCCTGAGTATGTTTTGCATGAACTAGGGATGAAGTTATCATTGCCAATATTATGATTTAATATTCCTTCCATAAATGTAATTATGTAGATGTGGAAGATCAGATAAAAAATGATCATTTTAAGGCAGAGAATATGTGAATGGTTTACCTGTCACCTAAATCTGAGATAAAACCTTATAGACAGAAAATCTTCTTGGTGACATTT
The DNA here is from genome assembly GCF_000001405.40 of Homo sapiens. Classification (NCBI taxonomy): domain Eukaryota; kingdom Metazoa; phylum Chordata; class Mammalia; order Primates; family Hominidae; genus Homo; species Homo sapiens. The sequence goes on along the minus strand of NC_000010.11, from coordinate 81,187,973 downwards.
CTCTTGTCAAAACCCTTCAGCTTAAGAAAATGTTCCTGCCACAATTAAATCAAGATTTAGTGTTTTATCAAATGCCAGACACTCACTTAATGGCCCCAAAAGATCGTGAGCCTCAAAAGATGTCAACTGTTGTCAGTATGACCATATTGTTTGACTTTATTTTTCCTCGAAATTTATATATATATATACACACACACACACACACACTGAATTCACTTTGGTGATTACCTTCTGATTAATTCAAAAATCTTGATTATGAAATCAACATCATAAAGTTATTAGGGCAGATAATTAATAATAATTTAGTTGAAGGTAAACCTAGCTTGAGACAGCTTAAGACTGCAGCTTAAAACAATGTTTAATAAGCAGTACCAACCTAAGTTTTTAAAATTCAAATTTGGAGCTATTGTTCTACTTTGAAAACTGCTTTAAGTAATGCATGTTACTTTATAAGGCAAAGTAAAAAAAAAATTCTGTATTGATGGCACTCTCAGACAACTGCTGAGAAGGACAGAAAGCAAAACATGTAGGTAATCTGACATTTTCTTGATTATCAGCTACAAATGGAACAGTATTTATTTTATAACTTTGACATTCTCTGGAAATAAAATGGGTATAGTAACATATTCACCTAGAATTACATTCTTTTTATGTATCCTTTTCATGTATCCTTTTCAGTAATTTCATATTTATTTTTGATTTCTGGCTACTTCTCTGTTCTTAAGGTATAATTTTTTGTACAAATGTTGTATGGCTTTAGTATAATTAATTTTGGTTTACTGAGAATTTGCAGTAGGGTTTTAAAAGACTGTGATTTTATAGAACAAACTAAGCAGAAGATTAGCAAGTAAATAAAGATTCAAAAAAAACTAGATCTAATACACGTACAGAACACTCCACTCAACAAAAACAGAAATACACATTCTTAACTGCACATGGAAAATTCTCCAAGATAGACACATTTTGTATAATTTTATATTTGTTAATTTATTGAGGCTTTTAAAAAATATAAGATTATACAAAGTATGTTCTCTGACCACAATGGAATTACAATAGAAATTAATAGCAGAAGGAAAATTGGGCAATTCAAATACAAATTGTCCCCAACTTATGATGGCTCCACCTACAATTTTTAGACTTTATGATGGGTTTACCAGAGTGCTGAATACATTTTCAACTTATAACATTTTCATATTACAATGGGTTTATCAAGAGGTAATGTATCTTAAGTAGTGGAACATCTGCATTTGAAAACTAAACAGCACAGTCCTAAATAACCAATTGGTTAAATAAGAAATTACAAGGGAAATCAGAAAATTTTTTGAGATAAATAAAAAGTCCCCACAATATATCAAAACTTATGGCAAGAATCTAAAGAAGTGCTCAGAGAGAAATTTTATAGCAGTAAATGCCAATATGTTTAAAAAGAGCAACATTCTAAAATTAACAACTTTCTACTTTAAGAAACTAAAAAATAAGGAAAACTAAACCCACGGCAAGGAGAAGTGAGGAAAAATACAGATTATAGAGGAAACAAAATTGAGACTAGAAAAACAATAGGGAAAATCAATGAAACCAAAAGTTAGTTCTTTGAAAAGATCAACAAAATTGTTAAACCGTTGATAGACAAATACATACACACACACACACACACACACACACACACTCACACACATACATGCACACAGAGACAGAGAGAGTGAGATTTCAACTTACTAAAATTAGGAGTAACTAACAATATTGCAGATTTGTAAAATTCCGAAAGGGTGCAACTATACTCCAACAAATTAAATAATCTAAATAAAATAGAAAAATTCCTAGAAAAACACAAACTGCTGAAATTGACCAATATGGTCATAGCAACATTATTCATCATAACCAAAATGTAGAAAGAACACAAGTGTGCATCAATTGATGAGTGGATTTTTTTAATGTGGTATATTCATACAGTAGAATATTATTCAGCAAAATTTTGCCTGATACAGGTTGCAACATGTATGAACCTTGAAAACATGTTAAGTAAAAGAATCCAGTATCAAAAGACTAAATATTATATGATTTTATTTATCTGGAATGTTCAGAATTGGAAAATCTACAGAGAGAAAGCTATAGGATGGGGAATCTGGAAAGAAATGAGAGACTGCTAAAGAGTATGGGATTTCTATTAGGGTGAATATAATGTTGTAAAATTAGTGATGATGGCTGCACAACTCTGAATATACTACAGGCCATAGATTTGTATACTTTTAAAGGGTAAATCTGATAGTGTTTAAGAACATTTCAAATCTTTCTAAGAACATAAGATTCAGAGAAAAATTAAAATTCTATGAAAATATCGAATTCACATACTTACATATATTTTTGACATTCACCGTAATTGTCATTTGTTATCACTATCAATATTTCACTTAAATATTCAAATACTTAATACCGACTTTTAAATTTCAATAAATATGGTAAAGTAAAAAATTGCAGAACATTGCTTTTGATTGAGTACTAGCTTTGCACCAAAAACTGTTAATATGAGCAGCCAACCAAAGTGTCTTTTAGAGAATCAGGCTGAATTATTTGTAATACAATGTTTAAGACTTGCTTCAGAAGAAAATTGAATTAAGCAGAGAAGTTAGCTGAGCTATGTAGGAAATAAAATTGGTTACAAGTTGATAATTTTTGAAACTGAGTGGTGGGTACATGAAATTCATTGTATTATTTCTCTTCTTTTGTGTATATTTGAAGTTATACATATTATAAAGTTTTAAAAAGTACACAGAAAGTGAAAGTGGAGATTTAAACTAAATGATTTCACCACAAAAATTTTAAAATAGTAAGTATATGAGGTGATGAATATGTTAATTTCAGTGATTACTTCACAATATATACAGATATAAAAATAATATGTTGGATGCCATAAATATAAACAATTCATATGTGTCAAAAATCAATTTACTATTTAAACTGAATGGATAACAAAGCTATTTGTAACAAAATTTTTGAAAATCAAAGGCAGAAGAGAAAATATTAAGTCACCTAGTAGAGGAAAAAGTCACGCTTGTTTCATTCATTCTTTTGGTGGTATTCAACAATAAAAAACTTTGGATTTTCCTGTGAATTTTGAAGAAAATAGTTAATCAAGAATTTCAAAATGAAACAACAAATCAATGAAATCTAAATGCTAAACAAGTAATTATTTATATCTATGAATGCAGAGGATATTGTTCTCACGAGCCCATCCTGAAGAAAATATTGTAAGGGATTCTATGCCCTCCAAAATGGAAGAATGAAGAATCCATTTATCTGAAGGAATTGGAGAGCTTCATTGCTATTGCCCCATTGCACACCCTCCCCAGTCTCCTAGCCATCCCCAAACCACTGACCTTCCATTTATATTGGCATTCCCATAGTCACTCTACCGCTCATGGTTCCTCAGTGAGGATCCTACTCTTCTTGGCCTATAATTCCTCCTGTGCTCCATACTGTCCTACCACAACCTTCCCAATGGCCTAGTGAGTAACCTTCTCCTTCAGATCTTAATTCAAAGATATGTTTCAGTGAGTGCTTTCCTGAATAGAAAATATTTTCTGAGTATAGAGAATATGGTCCTAGAATATATTTCATGTGTGAAGAAATTGCATGAATAACAAAAATTAGCAAGGAGACAGAAGAAAGTAGTTATAATCTAAACACTAATTTATTTCATTTGAATATGATGAAAACACAATAAATTAATATGTTTAACAGTATTTAAATATTTATATAACAAGGCAAGAATATGCTAAAATGGAATCGAAAATTTTAAATTTGGTTAGCGCATGGGAAATAATCTTATGAGAAAAATATGGAAATATGCTAATTCTATTATTTTTCTTGGATAGAAATTTACTGATTTTTTTCTAAAGAAATGGATAATAGATATATTGTTTAAAATTATGTGTAAAATATTTAAAAGCTTCTAAAAATATGTGAAAAAATACATGCACATGAAACAAAAGAGGAGCAGATATATAATATCAATCAATATAAGTAGCTAAGAAAGAAATAATACTATTCTATTTTAAAACCCTCTAATAAATAAATAAATAAAAATGCCCTTCTAGGACTAAGCTATACGTTGGTGTGAGTAGGAGAGGCTGGGATTTGCCTTTGGAAGAAAGCAATTATAGCTAACAACAACCAAATAATATAATACACTTTGAAACCTGCAAATTATTTTTAAATACGAGGTTACTATGTCTAAAGAGAAAATAGTTATCATGTATATACACAAAGAAAATGTTATAATATCATTCAATTTTCTAGGTTTTCTGGCTTATGATTTAAAATATTATGAGACACAAATTATTAAATTCTTTCATATCTTTAAACTTCATATATTTTAATTTTTAAGAGATTACAAAGCAAAATAATTTTGCATTCCCTATTTACCTGACTTAAAAGTAATGGAGTTACCAGTGATATGAAATATATAGGAAATGGAATTTCCATTCCTTTTTTGCAGTCATTTTTTATTGTAATTTTTAAAAAGTAACATAAAATTTGCCATCTGAGCCCTTTTTAAGTGTACAGTTCAGTAGTGTTAAGTATATTCACATTGTTGTGAAGCGGATATCCAGAACTTCTTCACCTGGCAAGCCTACTACTCTATACCCCTTACAAAAGAACTCCCCTCCCCATCCTGTATTCCTTTTAAACACTAAGGCATTATTATTTGCATCTAATTTATCATCGCAACAGTTTCTTCACAGTGGATAGACGTGACAAGACTTGCAGCATGAGGAGTCACTGCGGTTGCCCCTTTGCACACCCTCTCCCATTCCCCCGCCCATTCCCGAACCACTGGCCCTCCATTTGCTTTGCCACAGTCACTCTACTTGTTCATGGTGCCTCTCGCGCAGATCCCGCTCCTTTCGGCCTACAGTTCCTCTTTTGCTCCACACTGTCCCACCACAACCTCCCCACCTGGCCTAGTGAGTGAGCTGCTCCTTCTGATCTTACTTCAAAGATGTGTTTCAGCAAATGCTCATTTTGTTTGTTTGTTTGTTTTTTGAGATGGAGTCTCGCTCCGTCACCCAGACTGGAGTGCAGTGGCCTGGTCTCGGCTCACTGCAACCTCCACCTCCAGAGTTCAAGTGATTCTCCTGCCTCAGCCTCCTGCGTATCTAGGACTACAGGTGGACGCTACCACACCCAGCTAATTTTTCTGATTTTAGTAGAGACGGGGTTTTGCCATGTTGGCCAGGCTGGTCTCAAACTCCTGACCTCAAGTGATCTGCCTGCCTCGGCCTCCCAAAGTGCTGGGATTACAGGTGTGAGCCAGGCGCCCGGCCCAAGTGAATGCTCTCTTGACCCCTGGGCTACATCAGGCCCTTCCTTTCCACTAGCACTGTCCCAGTGTGGAGAAACACTCCTCCAGAGGACTTAACAGTGTTGGGAGATATGGATTTACTTTCAAAATTTTGATTAATGGGCCAGGCACGGTGGCTCACGCCTGTAAGCCAGCACTTTGGAAGGCCGAGGCGGGGAGATCACGAGGTCAGGAGCTGGAGACCAGCCTGACCAGCACGGTGAAACGCCGTCTCTACTAAAAATACAAAAAATGGCGCGTGCCTGTAGTCCCAGGTACTTTGGAGGCTGAGGCAAGAGAATTGCTTGAACTCGGCAGGCAAAAGCTGCAGTGAGCCGAGATCGCACCACTGCACTCAAGCCTGGGCGACAGAGTGAGACTCCATCTCAAAAAAAGAAAAAAAATTTTTTTTTGATTAATGACTGTCCTTTTCTATGCATGACAAACTTCATGATGGCATGAATTAGGTGTTTGCTCTATATCTATCACAACATAGATGATCACAAAATACTTGTTGAATGAGTGAAGTAAATGAACGGATGTATGCTTTCAGTTTTCATTGAAACAGAGTATACTAATAATGCTGTCTCGAATACAAAATCTGCAGGCTTAGTTCCTTGTCTCGGTAAAAGACACAGAAAACGACTGATTTCCAATAATTCACAGAAAATTTTAGCTTAACAAAACAAATAGTAGAACTCAAGAATCCCCAGAAGTTTGAATATATAACACAAAATAGAGATTTGCAAAGTTACATAATACAAACCTAATTTGATTTTTCTTCCCTGCTAGAATTATCGATCCCTAAGAAATCATCTGACAAAAACTCCATCTTTTAGAAAAGCAATATTATGAATACCATATTATGAATGAAATTACTGAGATTCATGGTCGCATAAGAGAAAAAACTCCTGTTTTCTTTGAGCAACTTTTTTTATTATTACGTAAAGTCAAATCTAACCTTTATTCACACACTCTTTAAATCTCAGTTTCCTAATTTGTGAAACGGGTTAATCTACCTTGCAGCATTGTCACAAGAAATAAATTTCAAAATTGGCAATTAAAAAAGGAATGAAAACAACTCTAGGTATTTACCAGTGAAACCATCACAGCCTCATGTTGTTGGCAGAAAATACTCAATTACAGATTTAACCACAGTAATAAAAATACAATAATACAGATTTTAAATTTCATCTTGGGTTGATTTTAATAAATTATCTTTTTAAATGAAGTTTTCCATTTAACTACATTTTTTAAATTTAGTGCCATAAAGTTGTTCAAAATACTCTCTTCAAGTCTGTATGGAGGCCCCCAGTTTTACTCATGATATTTATAAGTATTAATTTTATCTAGTTCCAAGAATTTATTGAATTTGGGGTTTCTTTAACTCCACTTGTCCCTCTCCTGTAAAATTGTTGACATGTATTTTTATATGTATTTTAGTCATCACCTAATATTATTTTAAAATTTTTGTATACTCAATATTTATTCATTTATATCCATATATGACACTTTCTGTTGCTCTTCACCTCTCTGCATTTGTGGGGCGGGGTAATCTAGGGTTATTTTTTTAAGTTTTCCTAGTGACTGAAGTATTCTGCCATTAACATTTTATTTAAATTTTGTGAGGTTCTACAGGTAATAATCTCTCTCTTTTTTGTGCCTTTTTAATTCCTTAGAGATGTTTTTATTTCAACTTTAATTGTGAAAAATATATTCAGGGGCTATAGAATTCTAGATTGAAACATATTCATTCAGAATTTTAAAGTTGTTTTTCCATTGTATTCTGTTTTCCTGCTCTTTCTGTTGACAACTTGGCTCTTAGTCTGAATGTTAGTGAATATATTAATCACAGGTGTTGTAAAGCCCATGTCTAGTATCTTCAATAACTGGATCATTTAAAGGTATGTTTCTATTGTCTGGTTTTTCTCTTACTTTCTATTAATAAGTTTTTCAGTTAGCTACTGCTGTATTATAAGCAACTCCAAAACTGAGTGTCTCCTATTGCTCATGAATCTACCAATCAACTCCTTGTAGTTCTCATCTCATTTGGGCTCCACTATGTATCTGCAGTCAGCTGGGTATGAAGTTGGTGTATCTATCAATCATGGCTTCACCCTTTCACAAGTTTGAGATGAACTTTAAACTGATCTAGGAAATATCAGATAGATCAAATGGGCTCTGGGCTCTCTTCCATGTCGTCCCTCATTCTCTAATATGTTAGACCAGGCTATTCATGTGGTGGTTATAGGAATCAAAAACAGAGAGACAGAGAGGGAGAAAGAGAAAGAGAGAGAAGTACACAAATCTTGAGCCCTGAACTGATACATGATCACTTTCAGCATATTCATATAAGTCACAGCTCATCTCAACCCATTGTCTGCCTAGATACAACGGATGGGGAAATGTCCTCTGTCTCCTGATGGAAGAACAGCAAAGACATATTGCAAGGAACATAGATTCAAGTAACAATACAATTGGGATAACTTTTTGCAATCTTTAAAGCGCAATGTTTATTTTTTATTTTTAAATTGAATGCTAATTTTGCATTGTATGCCATCCATTTTAGACGCCATGGATGTTATCTTCCTTCAGAAAAGCTTAACCCTGCCCTCTAGATGGCAGTACAGCAGCAGATCATCTCAATGGAGCCACAAATTTAGCTCATTCAAGGCTGCTCTGCAGCCTTTGAAAGGACATATTTATTTCTGTTTTCCCCTACTCCTACTAAGTGACCTTCCAGGAGTCCAGCGAGTGTTTCTGAGGGCCCCTTCTTTTTTTCTGAGTTCTGAATTCAAATATCTGTCTTCCTTGCACCGTGACATTGCCAAAAATTATTCTCTTTTTTTATGCTCCTTTGTGTTTGGCTATTTTGTCACTTGCCCTTTGAAGCTTAATTACAAATGACTAAAGGAGAAAATCTATGTTAAGTATTGTTCTCACTTGCCTGCAGTTGCCTTCTCTATCAGATCTTGGCCTTCTAAATTCTGGTTGTTTTGGCAGCCCCAAAATGCAATTTTTTTTTGTCTCGCAACTCCGTAGGTTGCCTAAAGCTCTATTAGCTTCTCTATCCCTTAGCACTGCTCTACACCTAGCTCCTTACCCTCTTGCCTGTGATAAGATTTGGATAACGCCTTGAGAGATTCTCATTAGCATACAGGAAGTTGGTTTATCTCAATAAGCTTCTCTCCAGGATATGGCTTCTCAACTCCTGGCTGCCTTGCCAGCTCAAAGCTGATGCCTTTAAACAGATTACTAAAAACAAACAAACCTATTTTATGCAGCTTTTCTAGCTGTCTTCAGTGGGGCCTTAGTCTCCTCCAATCTATTTGATTATGGCTGAAAACATAAGTCCATCAGAGTATTTGTATTTTGCTTGTATTTCAAACCCCATAAAACATCATGAGTATTATTTTTAATAGTAAACATTCATTTTATATTTACCCTTCCCATTATTTTTCTTCCTTCCTGTATTTCTTTGTTTCTATTTGGGATCCTACTTTCTTCTGCCTCGAAAATATTTTTTAATGTCTCTTTTAATGTAGTTCTGCTGATAATAAATTCTATCAGCTTTTATTGATTTGAAAATGCCTTTTTCACATTAAATTGGAAGAATATATTATTTGGGTATTAAATTGTATGCCTACAGTTATTTTCTTTTGGGACTTTATATATCTCATTTCTTGTGGCTCATGCTCTTTTCACTGTGTAATTGGCTGTATGTCCTTTGTTGACGTTTGAAGACAATCTGACATTTTTCTTTAAATGGTTCTAAAATTTTTCAATATTTTTTATTTTCAGCAATTTGGCTACGATATGCCTTAGTAGGATTTTCTTTGTAATTACCCTGCCTTTTTTTTTTGTTTCAGCTCATTGACTCTATGACTTTATATCTTTTATCAGATTTTAAAAATTCTTAACCATAATCTCTCCCAAATATTATCTCTCTTTTTGCCTTGTGGGTATCCAATAGATAAGAAAACTTATCAGTATATTCCACCTAAGATATTATAGTCATTATTATATTTTTTGACTCTTTTTTCTCCATGTCTTACTTTGAAGAAGTCCTAATGCCCTATTTTCCGGAATACAAATCTTCTCTTTAGCTATAAATAACCTGCTATTAATCCTATATATTGTATTAATAATTTTATTTGTCATAGTTTTCAATTCTATAGTTCTTCATCCTGTCATTTATTTTTCTGAACATATTTATCAGTTGTTATCTTAAAAATATATATCTGACAACCTTGTGAATCTGTTTTTATTGTCTGTTTTAACTTATTCTTGTTAATTAGTTTTCCAGGTAAGTTTACTGGTTCCTGTAGAAAGTAGAAAAGTTCCTCTTCAAAGCTCATCTTGATTTAAAAATAAAATAATAGACAGTAGGAATAATAGCTTCTTACTCTAAAGCCTTCTATCAACTATCAGTTCTTATACTTTAGCCCAATTAGTTGCTTTGGCTTACTCAGGCGTGTCCAGACAGGCCCAGGCAAGTCTTAGCTCATAGCTGATGCTCCTTCCTTATTTGGAAATGTTATTGCTTCCTTAAACCTTTCATAAGCAACTTCCTCTCCTTCTTTGTTTGCACTTACCTATTTAGGAAAGTTTCAGGTTGTTAGCAAATCGGGTATCAGTTTAGGACTGTGAGGTCCAGCTCCAGCCAATGGATGCAGGACACAGAAGTAAGGACAACCAAAATGCTTAAGGGATAAATATGTCTGCTTTTCCTTTGTTCAAATGTGCTCTCGCTACTGTTCCATCTGTGAAGGGCACCCTTTCTGCAGAAAGTAAAGATTGCCTTGCTGAGAGATCCTTTGTCTCTGTGCTGACTTTTCTTCGTGGCACCGATTATCTGTTTCCAACAGTTCCTAAACATTGTGTATTAAAAAATAAGAGATTACAGATAACGTATTTTTCCAGCAATTTTCTGTACATATTAGCAGGCTATTAAAGTGAAAGTAGATCATTTTTCTACAACCAAACTTGGTTTTAAGCTTTGTAAGTTCTAGTTTCTTTCTGATTTACCCTCAGTTTTACAGTGTGATCTTTCAGGGACCTCAAGTGAAAGCCTGGAAATACTCCACCTGAGAGTGCTCTAAGTTCCAAGTTTCTATTTTTGACAGTGGAAAGAGACTGCTAAGAGCTGAAATTAGGAACTTAAACTTATATTAGTGTTGGTTTTGAGGATGTTTTAAGAAGAGAAGCCATGGACGTTTAGCTGCCCAGAGAGCTTTCCTTTTCTCTGAGATCTTGGCGTCTCAAATCCTAGCTACCTTGAAGATACCATCAAGAAAATTTGTTGTTTTTAAAACTAGCTTTCCATTAATCTTCTGAAGAATGGTTGATCTATTATATACAGCTAGTGCATCATAGCCATAGGCTCATTGCTTCTTTTTGAAAAAGCCATTGTATAACTTCTTTTCATTGTTGTTCTTCAATATCATCATACTTTACATTTTAAAATGCTTTATGGAAAATATTTTCAATATTTAATTCATTATCCCTCATTATTGTCAAAGTGTACTCTACATGGTAACCATGCTATGATTGTACTATGTATGTGTAAAAAATGTTCTTGATCTTAGGAAATAGAAATTAAAGTTTTCCAAGCATATTAGCTGCTACTTTTTCATCACTCTCTCCTCTCCTCTTGGTCTTCTGGAAATAATATTCTGGAAAATACACACCGACACATATACGTGTGTATACACACACACACACACACACACACACATATACATATATGTATATATGTAGAGTAATCCCTCAGTATCAGCAGGGCATTGGTTTCAGGACCCACCACTTGAGGATACCAAAATTCACAGACGCTTAAGTTCCTTATATAAAATGGCATAGTGTTTGCATATAATCTATGCCCATCCACCCTTATATTTTAAATCACCTCTAGATTACATACAATACCTAGTACAATGTAAATTCTATGTAAAAGTTGTTATACTGTATTGTTTTAAAAAATAAGAAGAAAAATAGTCTACATGTTCGGTGCAGTTATTCTTTTTTTTTTAATCCCCTAAGTTTTTATCTATGGTTCATTGAAATCTAAACTATATCTAAAATATAATTATTAATATATTAACTATTTGATACATTAATGTTATGCAATTAATTATGGCATATAATTAAAAATAACATTATATTAGTTTTTGGAAAACATGTATAGAGGGAAGCCATTATAGTTGTTATATAATTGAATTATATTATTTACATATAGATAGGACATAATATATTATAATTAAATACTAACATATAGTATCAGTATCCTGAAAAAATATTAAACATATATACATAGAAAGAGCATGCACAAAGTAAAAAAGTGGGATAAAAATTAATAATGGAAAGATCTGTGCACTGTCTTCAAAATTTTTCTGTGTAAAATTATATCTAAAAAACTGGGGAAAATATTATATTTGTCTATACTTTAGATTTTTTAATGTAAAAAATTGACTTTGTGGAGGTGAGATCTGATATGTAAGTAATATTCATGGAAGCAGTATGTTTAAAAATTTATTTTATTAAAAAGTTAAGTTTCCAGACGAGTGCAGTGGCTCACACCTGTAATCCCAGCACTTTGGGAGGCCGAGGCGAGCAGATCACGAGGTCAGGAGTTTGAGACCAGCCTGACCAACATGGTGAAACCCCATCTCTACTAAAAATACAAAAATTAGCCGCGCATGGTGGTGTGTGCCTATAATCCCAGCTACTCAGGAGGCTGAGGCAGGAGAATGGCATGAACCTGGGAGGCGGAGGTTGCAGTGAGCCAAGACCGCACCATTGCACTCCAGCCTGGGCGACAGAGCAAGACTCCATCTCAAAAAAAAAAAAAAAAAAAAAAAAAAAAGTTAAGTTATAAATGGGGAATCTTTTTCAAACAGATGATTTAAATTACTTTCTATTAGATTAAATTAATTGTTCATTTTGCCTTGAATTGTTTCCGTCTTATTTCTTTAAACAGCTACCATTGTCTCACTAATACATTGTAGACACAACACTTAAAATTAAGCCTGCTATTGACTCAGGCCAAGTCAGTTTATGCTCAGCTTGAAATTAACATATTCTGTTTCATTATGTCCATTTGCAGACTTAATGAACATGTTTCTTTTTCACAAATAATTTCTTAAACTAATTCAGTTTCATCTTCTGTTTATTAATTTTTCAATAACTATTAATTGTGGGAACATTATAGCACATTAATAGTAAAATGAATAAAGCAAAAATTCCTATAACCCCCTAAAAACCGTTTTACATCTTCATTTCAGTTTCCTTACAGAGTCTTCAAAATGCTCACTGTTTGTTGATGCATAATGTCCCATCAGGTTGTTGCTCCGTAGTTTACTTAACAACTTTCCTTTGCTGGGCATTAGGTTGGCTTACAATTTTTAACAATCATGAATAATATCTCACTGATTTTGATGCAACCTACATGAATAAAATATAATTTGAAATCTTTGTAAATATGCCTCTCTTGGGAAAAAGCGCACATTCTTCTTCCTTTACTAATATTCTTATAACATTAAAACATGGTGTGCTGGAAATGATGGATGGACAATTTTGCTGCACCTCAGAAAAGCTCTCAGCATACTGAGGTCAGTGTAGAAAAAGAAAACTGTTAATACAGGCTTTATTTTGTTGTTATAATGTGTTGGTATTCATTGTAATTGAGGTGTAACTTAACATATCACATTATATATGCATCTCCAATATTATATATCTCATATTTAATGAGGGATTTTACACATATTTAATGAGGGATTTTACACACCTCATATTTAATGAGGGATTTTATATATCTCATATTTAATGAGGGATTTTACACACCTGGAAAATGAGTCCAAGCATTGTTTGAGAAATTTTGAGCAATGTAGTTGAATAAAAATAACCCAAACCCTGGCCGGGCATGGTGGCTCACACCTGTAATCCCAGCAATTTGGGAGGCCCAGGCGGGAGGATCACCTGAGGTCAGGAGTTTGAGACCAGCCTGACCAACATGGTGAAATCCCATCTCTACTAAAAATACAAAAATTAGCCAGGTGTGGTGGCAGGCACCTGTAATCCCAGCCACCAAGGAAGGTAAGGCAGGAGAATCACTTGAACCCGGGAGGCGGAGGTTGCAGTGAGCCGAGATCACGCCATTGCACTCCAGCCTGGGGGAGAAAAGCGAGACTTCGTCTAAAAAAAAAAAAAAACCCTAAGCCCTTCACAGATACTTCAAGGCCTATCACTATGTGACCAGGTGTGTGGCCTTCTGCCAACACCTAAAAAGTTGCCTTGATTACCATCTTTCCAAAGGGTGTGCCTATATGTATTCAGGCTTCCAAGGCATGCTCAAATAAGTGATGTTTCTTTAACAAACAGACATGAGAGCTCTCTGTTCCCTAATTCTTCGTGTTTTATACTTCTCTATATTATCCCTCACTGAGTCCTTACATGAGGACATGTACACTCATATATGTGCATTCACATGATTTCAAGTATTGTTTGTATATACCATGAGACACGACTACCAAAATTCTACCTTGGGCTAGTATCTCAGTACTATTATTAATATTCCTTCTTACTATTATTTCTTACTATCCCTGAGTTTCTGATACTATTAACCTTTTTACTCAGTGATGGACAGAGACTTCCCTTTCCCATGGCCCAAAACTTCATAGACACTAGGCTGCCACATTTGCTAGTGTTCATCAAAATTCAGAAATAACAGCATAAGATTTCTCACAGTAATTAACTACAAATTAATTATTATGCTGGACTCCATTTGACATCCACAGTCTCCTGAAACTCTTAAAAGCCTTCCCTTGCCCTGCCCATAGGGTGTCTTGATTGGGTAGATGTCATTTTATTCCCACAACCCATGTGTGTCCTCAGCATCCTTAGGCTTCTTGGAACCTACCTCAGAGACAATAAGCCAAAGGAAAAAGAATAAATTTCTTCTTGGATTTGCATTGTGATGCAAACAAATCAATTTTTTTAAATGAAACAATTAGATGAATTTGAAACTGATTATGTATTTGATGAGATTAAGAAATTATTTGTTTTAGGTATAATGATTGTTATTGTTATGTTTAAAAGGAGGGAGTATTTGTCTTCTAGAAGTATACACTGAAACATTTATTGAAGAAATTATGTAACATTAGGGAATTGCTTTAAAAAATACAATCAGGGCTGGGCGCAGTGGCTCACACCTGTAATCCCAGCACTTTGGGAGGCCAAGGCGGGTGGATCACCTGAGGTCGAGACCAGCCTGGCCAACATAGTGAAACTCCGTCTCTACTAAAAGTACAAAAATTAGCCGGGCATGGTGGCAGGCACCTGTAGTCCTGGCTACTCAGAAGGCTGAGACAGGAGAATCACTTGAACCCGGGAGGCAGAAGTTGCAGTGAGCCGAAACCGTGCCACTGCACTCCAGCCTGGGGGACAAGAGCAAGACTCCGTCTCAAAAACAAAAAAACAAAAACAATAGGGGTAAGAGAGAATGAGTCGGGGTTTATATAGGTGAAACTAGAGTGTTAAATGCTGATAATATTCGAACCTGGAAAATGCCTATATGGGGGTTTATTATATTATACAGTATTTATTTATTCATTTATTTTTACTAAGGTACATGGCATCTCCATTCAGATGCCTTATTTTCCTTTAATTAAAAAAGAAAGATGAACGAAAGAATAAAAGAAAGAAGGAGAGAAAGCAAGCTGTATTTTATAAATTTTCATAATAAAATTATTTCTTAAACTATTTTTATCTAGTCTCATCAGTCTTTGTTTCTTGTAACAAGAGCTGCCTCCTTCTAAATTAATTGGCACATATAGACTGTTGTTAGTGGAAGCACCATTACCCATGGAGAGTGGCCTTGTTCTGGTTCCAATAATACAATCAAATCAGGAAAAAATGAATCTGCATATTGTATGTGAGCACAGTTTTTGGAAATTAACTGCCTGGTTTTAAATCCTATTCTACCACTAGCCAGCTGCCAGCACTTGAGAAAATTCACTTAAATACTCCTCATATTTAAAAGAAGAATATTAAAAATCACTGTATCTAATGGTTGTTGTCTTAAGTGAAGTAATCCATGTAAAGTGTTTTGCATAATATATGGAACATAGTAAATTTTAAATGTTAAAAGTCAAATTGAACGAAAAAATCACATATTAATATGTTTGTGAAAGTTCACATCATTTCATCTTAGATAGCACATGTGCTGCGTCAGCATCACAGTACAGAGAAATCTCTCTAAATCAAGCTCATTTCCTTTTAATAATCAATACCCCAGTAGGATATCAAAGCCATTTCTGCTCATCCATCCTGCAACTTCAGAATTCTTGGTATTTGATTTCTTGTGAGTCACCTTCTGAACCAGAACGCGTATATATCCACATAGACAAGAAATAGATGCAGGTCAGGCACAGACTAAATGGTGCTTACAAAAGAAACATTTCTCCAAATAAAAGATGGTGAGATTCAAGACTGTCTACAATATACATTACTAGGTCTCAAACATTTTTGCTGAAGACAATAGATTTTTTTCCTTATTTTTACGGAAATAAATACCGCTTCCATAGTTTTTCAAGAGTAATTAAATAGCCTGCATAATGATCGTATTCTATGCAAGAGTAACTAAATAGCCTGCATAATGATCGTATTCTATGTGAAACATACTGAAGAATGTAAAGTGGCAATTGATAGGTTGTGTACAATATTTATTCCACTTTCAAGTTCTTAGGATCAAATTTTAGCCAAGATTGCAGCTCTTCCTATTTTTTATTTCTTCAGTTACCCACAATAAGCTTTGTATAAAGCTCAGTAATGAAAATTTAGCTAAGGGATCATGGCATAGCAGATGTGTTTTCCCTGGACCTTCCTTTTTCACCTTTTCCAGATTCTCCAAGAATCTGTTATTTCCCGAACACTATTCTTCATAAATGTAGATATAGTTGTAAGTGAGGTATAGGTATAAGTATAAAAGGTAAAAATAAGTTTTAGGGTATAGGCAATGAAGGATGTATATATTCACAACTAAAAGAAAAATCAATTGTTAAGCATATACCACTTTGTATGAGTTATCTAATTCAATTTTATCGGTGACTACTCACTATATTAACACTGCGATGCATAACTATTCTTCATTCTTATGGAGACGTCAATCTAATTATAGGTATCTTTTCACTTTCTTTGAATACTCATGGATTCAATGTCTCATTTTTAAAAAAAAAACTTATCTATTTGAAGAACGCAATATGAGTAGAGAAGACATAATTTAATGACACAGCAATGAGTTAAAATGAGATGTTATTAAGTTACTTCAAATAATCTTTCAAGAATTTCTACACAGTAGTGATAGTCACCATTGCAAAAAAAAAATCTTGTGCTTGGATTGTTGCAATTCTCATATATTCTACATCTTGGCTGAAAATACAAGTCTATTTTTTATTATCTTGGTACATAATTTATATGAGAATTACCTGTGGAGCTTAAATTTTACACCATTGTTACTTTTGAACACTGAGTTTTAAAAACGACTACCAGGGACATATTTTTCAGTTACAGTTACTCATAACAGTATCCGAGTAATAGAAAATATATAGTAGAAAATTGCAGAAAAATATCAAAAACATGACTCAATTTTATGTGTGTATATATACTTACACATGTATTAAAAGCTCTGCTGAAGCACATGAAAGACTTGAATAAAAAGGAAGATATGTCACAGCAATAGATGATTTGGCCTATCATTGCAAACATTGCAATATCAAACTAATATATAAACTAATCATTTTATGATGTTTTATTAAAATTTTATTGAATAGTTTAGAAACCAAATGCAACTGTTTTGAAAGAATAATGGTCTACAAATAGCTAAGATAATTGGAAAAGAGAAATAAAGAGGGAGTACTTGTCCCATCTGACGATACAACACATACAGACCAGTAACTTCACCTCAACCTGCGGTGCTGTCACTGAAAGGTACATAAAATAAATCAGTGGAACAGAATAGGTATCTCAGAAACAGACTGATGTATACTAAATAGTAGATATATTACACAAGTAGCATTAACAAATCACTGAAATAATGCAAGATATTTTTAATGTTTTGTTTAAAAAAAAACTTGGATAACAATATAAGAAAAAAATAAAGTTAGATCTCTCACACCGAATACCAAAAAGTAAAGATGTAAAACTACATGGATTACAAAAGAAAAACTAGAAAAACACCTTTATAATTAGAGGAAAGGGCATAATCTTTTAAGCAAGGGGAGGAATGATGACTTTACATCAGATTTGAAGTGTTTAATTCAAAAACACCATAGACATAGTTAAGTATGGGATAGCAAATTTAGAGACAATATCTCAGTGTTTGAAACTAACATGAAATAAAATTTAAAATGTTCATTATTCTTGATACAGCAGACCAAGATAACAAACTATATGAAAATAAGAAAAGGAATAAAAACAGAAACTCCGAGGTTAAGAAATCCAAAGGCTAATAATCATATGAATGATTCATCTGTAATAACATTCTGAGAAATACAAATTAAGATAAGAATGAGGCTCTACAACTTTGATAATGCCAAAATTAAGAAATTAAAATAACAGATGATAAAATAATGTAAAATTCAATTGTTAGCAAGGACATGAGGAAACAGGAATTCAAATGCACTTCTGGTAGGAATGCAAACTGGTACAGAAGGGGAAAGCAATCAGTGCCTACTAATGACAGTTATCCCAATCACATTCTAGGAATCCTTTTATCTCTAAGAAGTTCTCTCAAGGACCTATAAAGGAAAATACACAAGGAGGTAAATTGCAACAAGGAGTTTTTTATAATGTGGCATATTTATTCACTATTAAATATATGACATTCAGAGTGGATTTCCACAGGTTTTTAAAAGATAAAATTGAGTTTATCAAATAAACAAAAGAAAAAATATGTAAAACAATACCACTTGTAAAATTAAACCCACACATGCACATAAACAAACACATACATTTAAAAAAACCATTACAAATAGCAAACTAAAACCAAAGCAAATAGAATATAGGAAATGATAAACATTAGAGCTGAAACAAATAAAATCTTAAAAATAGATAAAATCAGCAAAGGCAAAGGTTGGTTTATCTAAAAGAGCAACAAAATTGGAAAACCTTTAGCTAGACTAAGAAAAAGAGAAAATATTTAAATTATTAAAATGAAGAATAAAAGAGAAGCTATTACAATCAACTTTATAGAAATAAAAGGATTGTAAGGGAAATACTATAAAAAATTTATGCTAACAAATTAAATAACCCAGATGAAAAGTACAAATTTCTAGGAAAATACAAATGATCAAAATGAACTCAAGAAGAAACAGAAAATCTGAAAAACACTTCTCAGTACATTCTATGAGGTCATTATTACCCTGATACTGAAACCAGACAAAAAACTCATGATAAAAGAAAACTGCAGATGAACATTCCTTGTAAATACAGACACAAAAGTTTTCAATAAAATACTAGCAATTAGAATCTGGCAACAAATCAAAAGGATTATACACTATGAACAAGAGGGATTCATTCCAGGAATGCAACATACAAAAAATAATCAAGGTGACATCACCTTAATAGAATAAAGAACAAATACCTTCACGTGATCATCCAAAGAGATGTAGAAAATGCATTTGACAAAAGCCTTTCATGACAAAACCACTCAACAAATTAGAAATAGATGGAAACTTCCTCAAACAAAAAAGAAGCATCTCTAAAAAAGATAACCACTAGATAATTAATGGTGAAAAGTGAATATTATCACTCTAAGATGAGAAATGGTACAGAGATGCCCACACTCACCACTATACTTAACATAATACTGAAGGCTGTAGCTAGGGCAATTAAGCAAGAAAAAATAATAAGTGATGTCCATATAGGAAAAGAAGAAGTAAAGGAATGTCTGTTTGCAGATGGCAACGTATCGTATATAGAAAATCCTAAGACATTAAAAAATACTATTAGAGCTATTAAATGAGTTCGGGCACATGGCAGAATACAGAGTCAGTATATAAAAATCAATTGTATTTCTATACATTCGCAAGGAACAATTCAAAAATGAAATTAAGAGACAATTCCATTTACAATAGTATCTAACAGAATAAACTACTTATTGATAAATTGAACAACAAAAGCATAAAACTAGTATACTGAAACTACGAATCATCATTGGAAGATATTGAAGAAAACTTACATAAATGGAGACATTCTATTTTCATGGATAGGAAGATATAATGTTGTTAAGATGGTAATACATGCCAAATTTATCTACAGATTCAACACAATCACAATTACATTTCCAGCTGGCGTCTGTCAAGAAATTGACAGGCTGATCTTAAAATTCATGTGGAAATAAAAGGGACTCAGAATAGCCAAAAGATTCTTGAAAAAAGAACAAGGTAAGGAAATATACACTTCCTGGTTACAAAACTTACTGTAAGCTATGTTAATCAAGACTGTGTGGTACTGCCATAAGGATAAACACGTGGAATAGAATTTGAAGTTCAGAAATAAACCATCTATTTTTTGGCAATCCAAAAAAATGAAGTTTGACCTCCTTCCCCCACACATGTACAAAAATTAATTCCAAATAAAATGAGTCAAATAGCTAAACATTAACAATGGAAAACTTGTAGTAGAAAACATACATGTACATCTTTGTGATCTTGGATTAGGGAATACTTTATTAGATTTGACACCTGAAGCACAAGCAACAAAAGGAAAAAAAAATAGACACATTGGACCAAATCTAAATTAAATACTTGTGTGCTACAAAGGATACCATCCAAAAACTGAAAATTAAACCTAGATAACAAGGGAAAATATATGAAAATTAGATAGACAGATGATAGATAGATAGATAGATGATAGATAGATAGATAGATAGATAGATAGATAGATAGATGATAGATAGATAGATAGATCCAAAATATATTTCTACAAACCTGTTACGACTCAATAATGAAAACAGAAATAACTTAGTTTAAAAATGGGCACAGAATTTGAATAGACATCCATCCAAGAAAGATACACAACTGGCTAATAAGGGCTTGCAAAAGGTACATAACATAAATATTCATTAGGGAAATGCAAATCAAAACCACAATAAGATGCTACTTTCACACCCATTAGTATGACAATAATCAAAAACACAGAAAATAGCAAGTGTTGACAAGGTTTGGAGAAATTAGAACCCCAATAAATTGCTGGTGGAAGTGTAAAAATATACAGCCACTTTGGAACATAGCTGGATAATCCCTCAAAAATTGAAATGTACAGTTACCAGATAGTCTAGCAATTCCACTCCTATGTATATATCCAAGAAAACTGAAAACATATATCTACACAAAACATGTACATGAATATTCCTAATGGCAGTATTTTATAATAGCCCAAAAAGTAGACACAATCCAAATGCTCATCAACTGAGGAATAGATAAACAAAGTATGATAAATCAAATCAATGAAATATTATTCATTCCTAAAAATAAAACAGCTGATACCTGCTACAGTATGGATAAACCCTGAAAACGTTCTGTTAAAATGCTTATGAAAGAAGCCAGATGCAAAAGGCCGCTATTGTGTTATTCCATTTAGTCATTCTGAAATGTCCAGAATAGGCAAATCTATAAAAACAAAAAGTGGATTCAGGGTTCCCAGGAGATGAGCAGGAAGGAAGAATGGGAAATGACTGCTAAAGACTGGATTTCCTTTTGAGGTGCTGATTGAACAGCCTTTTGAATATCTTTAACAACACTTACTTGTACACTTTACAAGGGAAGACTTCATTGTATGTGAGTTATATCTCAATAAATAAAAGCAAAAATATTTTTCACACATATTAAAATAAATAATTGGAAGTTAGATTTGAAGTACAGATAATAAAACCATTGGAGCAATTTACCCATTTTGGGAAAGAGACATAGAGTATGGAGGTACAAAGTTGAAAAATTACATTTTCTTCCTTCTCATTGGTAGTTTCCACGTCTTTTAAAACAACTAGATTTTAGGGAAAATGCTCAATGTCTAAGATGGGGAGCAGTATTTCTGATATCATAAGCTAGAAATTACCATGCCTGTACCAAAATATCTCATATAGCCCATAAATATATCCACCTACTATGTACTCACAAAAAATTTTTAATAATAAAAAAGAAATTATTCATGAGTGAACAATATTTCCTAATGATGACGAATATATATATTGATATAAAATGTCTTTTAGACAAAACATCTCTATCTTAAACTTTGTTAAGATAACATTTTAGTTTGTTAAGATAACATACTAAGTTTGTTAAGATAACACACTAAGTTTGTTAAGATAACATTTTAATTATCACTTATGTTTTAACTAGCACAGTCAATATTAACACTTTTTGCTATGGCAAAGTTTTAACTAAAGCCTGGTATGGTGGTATACACCTATAGTCTCAGCTACTCTGGGGCTGTAGTGGAAGAATCACTTGATCCCAGGAGTTCGAGGACAACTTGAGCAACATAGTGAGATCTTGTCTCTAAAAATAAATAAATAAATAAATAAATAAAAGTTTTAACAAAGTATATTTTAGAAGAGTTTCATAAAAGGCATAATTATAAGCGCTTGTCCAAAATGCAGATCCATTTAGGAAGACGATCAATAAGAATACTTCATTTCCTAGAACTTTCTACCCAAAATTTTAGATCTATTTATTATAATTCTATTAAGTGTTTCTGAATAGTAATTAGCTGATTTTTTAATCTTTTCAAGTCATCTGGAAAATTCTTCATTCTTTTTAAAAGGCAAAGAAAAAAATCACTAACATTATAACAAAATAGTCTGTGTTCATTTTCAGCCACTATAAAAGAATATAGCAAACTGGATAATTTTTAAGTAAACTAAGTTTATTTGGCTCATGGTTCTGGAGACTGAGAAGTCCAAGACTGAGTGGCCACATCTAGTGAGGGCTTCCTTGCTGTGTCATAACACGGCAGAAGGGTAAGTAAGCATGCGGGAGACAGAGAGAAATAGGCCCAAACTTGTCTTTTGTATCAAGAACCCACTTCAATAACTAATTGACTCCCATGATAAGGCATTAATACATTCATGAGGGCAAAGCCTTCATGACTTAATCATCTTTTAAAGTCCCTACCTCCCAATACCATTATATTGGCAATTAAATTTCACCATGTTTTAGGGGAACATTCAAACCATAGCAGGCTTCCTGCCAAAGTAGTTATATTTATTTTGTAAAATATATGGAAGTGAAAAGGTCATGAGTGACAAAATACAAATACCATATTTTATGAGATGAGTCTTGGTGTGGCTTGGTGAAATGTGGCACATGTATCAAGATATTCAAGTAAACATCCACTGAAGAGCAAACATATGCAGTCATTTGAGAGAACTGCGTCCAATCAAAGGAAAGAGTGGATAACAACAACAAAAAAAAAGTTCAAGGGAGTCCCACCAACAGGCAGAACTAGAAAGTCATTATGCAGAATAGGGTAGATTTGGAAGACAAGAGTTCAGTAGATGGGAGCAGTACAAGAGGAGGGAATGTCAAATAGGAATACAACATGGTGAAAAAGTAAAGGTCACGCCTGTAATCCCAGCACTTTGGGAGGCCGAGGCGAGCGGATCACTTAAGGTGAGGAGTTGGTGAACAGCCCGGCCAACATAGTGAAACCCTGTCTCTACTAAAAATACAAAATAATAATAATAATAATAACAATTAGCCGGTGTTGTGGCACACACCTGTAATCTCAGCTACTCAGGAGGATGAGGCAGGAGAATCGCTTGAACCTGGGAGGCAGAGTTTGCAGTCAGCTGAGATCGCGTCACTGCACTCCAGCCTGGTGACAGAGCGAGACCCCGTCTCAAAAAAAAAAAAAAAAATAGTAAAGGTAATAATAGGTAGTAAAAGGAAAGTGTAGTGACTATCTAAATTCTAAAGCAGTACTGTCATGGTTCAACTCACTTTGATTATGGAAACATTCATAATCTGATCTGTCCAATGGAGCAGCCACTAACACATGGCTAATGAACTTGTGGCTAGTGCGACTGAGTTAACTAAGTTTTGAATTTTCTTTGATTTTAATTAATTTAAATTTAAAGAGACACACGTGGCAATTAAAATAGGCTCTTGTATAAGGCAGCACAGATGTAGAATGGTCGGAGTTAAAAAGCACACAGTCTCTTCAAACAACAAAAAACATTGTTATTAGCTGTTCTTTATGTATGTTCTCACCCTGTGAGGTTCTCTACACTCACGTTTTGTAAGAAAACCCTAAAAGTTTCAGACAATTTGGAAGCGGAAAGAACATGAAAACTGAGTATATGTAATCCACGCATTAAAATAATTTGGCTTAATTCTCAATAAATTTCAGCATACCAATGGATAACCCTGGTCTTATAAGTATTTAGAAATATTGAAGATCTTTAAGTAGGTATAATAATCAGATTTTTATGTAAGCGATCATTCTTTTTGCAATGTAGAGAAGCAGCAAATTCCTTGAGTAAAAAGTCTAGTTTTCCTCAGATCAGTATTGATCCATATCCAGTCTATAAAGTAAAGGCACCTATCTCTGATAAGTCCTCAAACAATTTCAATTGACCTATGGTCTACCATTCCCCAAATGAGACTCCTTGCATCCATCATGTGATTATGGCATCGCATACTGTAGAATTACCATCATGGGCTGCACTTCTCAAAAAGCCAAAATACTCAGACTTTACTCTCATATTTAATGAGCCAGGTACATTGTATTATCTTTCTTCTGTAGCTAGAAATATGTAAATATCCCTAAACCATGATGCTATTTATATTTATGATTAAGTAAATATGTCGAGATTAAATTACAATATGCCTGAAAGAAAACTCCATTAGCAAAATAATTTTCAAAACCTTGATTATCATTATGAGAACCTGAATTTATCATGTAGGATTTAAATACATGCACAAGGTGGGCACGGTGGCTGACGCCTGTAATCCCAGCACTTGGGAGGCCAAGGCAGGTGGATGACTTGAGGTCAAGAGTTCAAGACCCGCTTGGCCAACATGGTAAAACCCCATCTCTACTAAAAGATACAAAAATTAGCCAGGCATGGTGGCACACGCCTGTAATCCCAGCTACTTAGGAGGCTGAGGCAGGAGAATCACTTGAACCCACGATGCGGAGGTTGCAGTGAGCCAAAATCACACCACTGCACTCCAGCCTGGGTAACAGAGCAAGACTCTGTCTCTAAATAAATAAATAAACATTCAAAAAGAAAATAAACTTTCAAGAGCTTAAAATCCTGTACAAAAGAAGGTGAGTATTAATTTTTATTACAAAAAATAAAAAGATTATAGACATATGTTTGTAAATGGCTCATGATTTCTAATGTGGCCTCTTCAACTTTGGCACTCATTATTCTACAGAAGAATCTTAAAACACAAGGTACTGATGAATGCAGTGACCAAGAAGTTAACCAGTGTGTGAGTAATTGTGGAATCTCCTTTGATTCAGATTGACAAATGCGTGTGTAGATTTCACCTCATGGTACGACTAAGTTTTTCTTATTTTAAGAAACAGTGCTGGGAAAGCTGGATTCACATCCAAAAAAATGAAGTTTGACCTCCTACCCCCACACATGTACAAAAATTAATTCCAAATAAAATAAGTCAAATAGCTAAATAGAAATAAATAACTCTCACAAAACATAATGTGGAAGTTTGCACCTCTGAACGTGTCTGTGCCTCATTCATGCACGCGAGAACCATGGCTTCGACAACTTGGGAAACTCTCCTCTAACTCTGCTGGGGCACATTTTGTGGTGGGACTCTCCACTCTGACCTGCTTTACTCTGAATTTTCGGCAACATCCGTAGCCTAACTCTTCATGAAGCTTAGAAGACAAAAGAGATCTGTAGTATTGAAGGAAAAATAAGATACATGAATCTTTGCCAATAGATAATTTTAACATTGAAAAGAGCATACTACAGTTTAGGATCCTATTTTTAATTAATCAACGTACATTTTACCTATTCTATTTTTTTCCCTGGCTTTCAATTCCATCGCATTTCCATGTATCCATAGCAATTTCTTCCTCTTGTTTTCTTTAGTTGACTTTTAAAAATCAATTACATTTTCTAATTCTTGAGTTTAAACTTTAGGTCATTTATGCTAACTCATTTAGTTTATTAAAGAAATGATTTACTACTATTAATTCACCTCAACACATAATTGAGCATCTTTTAATAATCATCAACTGTGTCTGTTCTCGTAATTATCTAAACATTCTTTAATTCAATTTGTCATAGTCTCCTTGACATGAGTATTATTTTCTAGTTCTGTTGTAGTCAATATAATTTTTCATTATATCGTTATTTTCTTTTTTAGTACTACAGTTAGATAATATGGCTTACAAATTATAATTATTTTGTATGTGTACCTTAGTGACTGAATTTTTAGAAATCCTTAAATATACTCCATTGTTTCTTGAAAATAAGGCATATTTCCTGTTAATAGAATATAAAATATATCTATTACCTAAGTCTTACTATATTATTCAAATATTCTTTATTTCTAGTTTACCTTTCTGTGTTTGCTTTGTCAAGCTCTGATTCTGACTTTATGACTATATCGAAATCAATTTCTCTATGTTTTCTTTCCAAAATATATTTTTTGATTGCTAAAAAATAAATGAATTGATTAATTTACTTGTCAACAGACAGAATATGGGCCTAGACCCCCACTCTCTGTTCATTTGTGTGATGAATAAATCCTCCCTTCAGGTCTGAATCAGAGGTCCAGCTCCCCAATTGAGTCAGTTCCCAGCACATTTGGCCAAGTACCTGTATTATTCTGCTATTCAGAGTAGTACTGTCTCTTGATCCATTTCATGGGCCTCTTGTGTGCTAAGATGTCCATCCTTGAAAAAATTCAAGCATACTCAGTAATTTTATTGCTCTGTTAACTTTTAAAAACTGGGACAAAAACATGGTTTTGTTCATTATCTCTAAATGTGACTATTCCAGTAAATGTGATGGTTCCATGCAAAACCTGATTTGCTGCACTTTTTCCAATACACCCTGCTGTATACAACAGTGATTTAATTAACAAACATAAGTACAATTACAAAAATAATGAATTGGAAACACAATTCTAGCATTCTGTCTTTTAATGAGTTGGAATACATCAATCCTTGTACATACTTGCAGTGCCAGGATTGAAAGTGCTATTAAATGAGGAAACCAAAAGTGAACATGGGGAAAAGACATCAGCAGGATACACAGTATGACCACTTCTTATTTTTCCTCCTCAATAAAATCTAGCTACCATTTCCCTGTTCATCTGGGCCTCTTTCAGGAATCAACCTTGACTCACTCAAATGATGCACAGTCAAACATGATGAGAGAGGCTGTTAGATAACAATTACTGAACCCTAAAGAGCTCTATGTTGACTAAGCTCACAAAAAAAGAATGCTTTCAAATAAAACATGTAAATGGAATTACCTTAACTTAGAGACTCACATAGATACATGTGAGAATGCCTGTTCAGTTACATTAGGCTAAGTGTAAAGACCTGTCTGATCAGCAAGAGCTTACATTAAAATGATTTTGTTCTATATTTAAACGAGACCAAATGACTGATGCAAACTTTGGCAAGTTTATTCTAGACTTCACACTGCTCATTTTGAATTTTAGAAAAATAATTAAACCAAAACCTGTCTCCACTGGGAAAATAATGTTTGTAAGGAAAATGAAAGGTTTTTCAAATGGTATAAAAAACATCAGACTCTGCATTTCTATATTTACTCGACTAAACAATGCTGTCTTCATATTTGCTCACTGGCCATGCTATGAATGTCCCATCCTGTCCATAACAATGAACTGAACCATCTTACCAGGGCTATTTCTGCTATCTGTTGTATTAATTCCATCCCCTTCATCTCCTCTGGCATGTTCCTTCATGAAGTAGCTTAATTTTTGACAGAGCAATCCTATTAGAAGTAATTTTCCCCGCAGCCTACAATAAGCATAACTGTATTAGGTCTTTTAAAAAACATCAAGACTTCCTTTCTACACACAATCTGGTAATCTGTCCACAGCCCTGAATAATAGATTTCTTAAACTTTTATTTGTCATAGTGGCAAAAAAAGAAAAAGAAAATCATGCATCAGCTAATGTTTGGGTTATTCTTCCTGCAGAATTCTATAACAATTACCTCCTTTATGAAAATGATACAAAGGACAGCTGAGCACGGTGGCTCACGCCTGTAATCCCAGCATTTTGGGAGGCCGAGGCAGATGGATCACCTGAGGTCAGGAGTTCGAGACCAGCCTGGCCAACATGATGAAACCCTGTCTCTACTAAAAATACAAAAACTTAGCTGGGCATGGTGGCGGGTGCCTGTAATCCCAGCTACTCAGGAGGCTGAGGCAGGAGAATCACTTGAACCCAGGAGGAGGAGGTTGCAGTGAGCTGAGATCACGCCATTGCACCCCAGCTTGGGCAATAAAGCAAAACTCCCTCAGAAAAAAAACAAAAAACAAAAAAACAGAAACAAAGCACAGCTGACTATGTTTAAGCTAGACAGTACATATATTTTTATTTAAATTGCATTGCAAATGAGAAAAATATCTACCATACATTAACATACATTAAATACACTCAGTACAAATATAACTCCTAGCATAAATATAGTATGCAATATAATATGAAGTGTATCTAGGTGTTCAGAATGAATAGATGTGTACACATACCAATATACACATGTGTATATAATATGTATAATTTAAAGTATTTCACACTTCTGTTCATTTATTCTATAAAATAATATTTATCAAATGTGTACTGTGTGCCAAGCATTATTCCAGGTGCTGAGAATAACCAGTGAACAAAACAGACAATCTTGCTCTTTTAGTGTTTATAGACTAGTGAAAGAGGAAACATATTAAGCATTATAATATAATAAGTAAACACATTAACAGTAAGTTAGAAAGGCATAAATGCAGGGTAAGCAGTATGGAAGTTTAAAATTTTAAATATGAGAATCAGTTTAGGCCTAGTTGAGGGGGCAACATTTGAGATAACTATAGTTAGACCCTCAGTCTTCAGAGAGAGTCAAAAGAAAAAATAATACAATGAGTGATAAAGGTCTCTTTCTTCCTTTCATTATGTCTCTTTTAGGAGACTGTGAGTCAGAATGGTATTACTCCCACATTTTAGACATCCCTACGTAAGTCATTGGCTGATGTATAATTGTGTGTCTCTTTATCTTCCACATGGTGAGATGCTGACAGCTCTGAAATTATGGCAATTGATAAGGGGTGACAGGCAGGCATAGTTGTGTGAGTTCTGGTTGGCCAGCCCTGAACAGGCATGTGCTGACCATGGCTGAGATGCTATCAGAAGTCCACTTTATATAAACTGGCTTCTCTGTGTGTGAAAAAATGATGCTACCAATTTGAACACCAAGAAGCTCTTCAAAATTCTAATGTAGTCCTTCCTTAGGACTGGCAAGTTTGGGGAAACCTTCCTCCACACCCCCCCAACATCAAGCAGACAGATTCTGGCTGGCCAGCCTGCACAGACAAAAAGCTTACACTGTAGCCTCAATAGGAGACAAGATTCTTCCCCTAATGCTAGACTTCGATCTTGATTGTTTCATGAAATTAAATACTGTAAACAAGGCATTTTATTCAAATAATTCAAATATACTTCAATTACAGGAAATATATTAATATAATTAATCACATCAAATGCTCACATAAGAAAAAGTTTATGGTCAATACTATAAATGCTGTGAAGAGATCTGCAAAAATTCACACTTTATTGATGGCCAGAAGATGGCTCAACTCATTTAGCAACAATCTTCAGAGTTTTGGCCAGCAAAAGTACTTCTTGCTCTCACCTGAGTGAGAAAGGGTGTTTAAACCCATTCATGCCTGAGGTTGCAATTGTTTGAATTTTTGCAATCAGACCTTGGCAGTGACCTTGAGCAGTAGGATATAAATAACTCCCACATGCTTAGCGTTCCAATAATGGAACACTAGGCATAAATTGGAAGACACCTGTCACAGCAGTTCTATCCATTATCTCTCATTTAATGAGTGTAGGTATTCTACTACTGTGAATTTCCAAGTGTCTGTATGCCTTATTTTCCTTGTGTTTCAGACACAAACAGCAATAACAATAGTTTCTCATTTCCATTCCAGGCTTATTCTTCACTTGGTTTTCGCAGTTAAAAGGCTGTATCCTCTGAGAGTCTTGACTTCTGATGTGATAACTAAACTCACCTAACTGTGTATTCCCTATAGCTCTTAGTCCTCAATAGGTACTCAAATCCTGACTTTTGTGACAATACTGTCCTTTCATCTTACTTTTACAAGCTATGAAGCCATCCCTAAATGACATACTTAGAATAGCCCAGTTTGAACATGACATGAATGGAAATATTCTCTACGGATTTTTTCATGTGTTGCTTTTTTGGCTCAACATTCAGTTTCTTGGATTCAAACTTGTTGTTTGAGCTATTTATTTTATATTTATTTGACTTGTTTGTAATATTCCACAGGCAGCAATTTACTTGCCCATTTGAATGTTTAGGATAGTTAAATTCTTTCTAGTTTGGAGTTAAGAAAAATGGTGCTATGAACATTCTTCTGCATATTTTCCTGGTGAAAATGTGCATATATTTCTTTACAGCATCTGATAGAAACAGACTTGCTGAGCCATAGAATATGAGTAGTTTCTAAATCACTCATGTCATACTGTTTCACAAATGTACACATTTATACTCTGATAGCAGTATGTGAGAACTCCCATATCTCCATGTACCTGCCACCACCACTTGTTAGTGTCAAAATTATAGCTTTTGCCAATATAGTATGTATTGTTCTGAATTGTGATTGTAATGTTCAAATCCCTGATTATTAATGATTACTTTCATATATATATTGGTTTGGATTTCCTATTACAGTTTGTTCAAATTGTAGTTCTTTTTCCTACTGAGTTATCTCTTTTCCTTTGATTTGTAGGACTTCTACAGTTGTGATGACTTTCAATGATTCAACACTAAGTTTGAAGCTTGCTCTATATTTTATTGGCATACACTTACATTGAAAGGACTTTTTGAGGCCCAAATATGCTAAATTATCTATTATAAAAGGCTGTTGAAATTATCAAGTGCTTTTTTGATAACCATTAAAATTTTCATATATTTCTATTCTCTGTGATCTGTTAATGTTTTGACTGATATTAATTAGTTTCCAATCTTAAACAAACCTTGCATTCTGGGTATAAACTTATCTTAGAAACTCATTTTTCATATACTGCTAAATGGCACATTGCTAATATTTTGTTTAGGAATATTCATATATATATATCCATGAGTAAAAATTTAATGTATTTTTTGCATATCTTGTATATTTTTAAATTTTTGTGACAGGTTATGATAGTGTCATGGATTGAGTTTTGGAATGTTTTCTCTTGATCTATTTATTGAAGGAATTTGTTTGATATGGAGAATCATCTTTGAAAAATTGGCAAAATTTGCTAAGGAAACTATCTGAGACCTAAGTTTTTATTTAAAAAATACTTCACTTCTTTCTCAATGCAGTTAATGATAATATGATGATTTCTTTTTTATTTATTCTTGAGTTAATATTTATCTTGTATACATGCATAGTTAACCATAAATTTTTACCTTATTAGCATAATATATTTATATTATCTTAATTTCTAAATTACCCGCAGTGATGCCTTTTTTTATTACTGATATTATGCTTTCTCTTTCTTCATCTTCTCACTAGAGATGCACCAACTTTATTTATCTTTACAATTAACCAAGTTTTTGCTTTGTTTATCCTGTTATATATTTACTTACTTTTACATTAATTTCTAATATTATTTTCTTCCTTCTATCTTTCTTCACTGTTCTTTCTCAAGCTTCTTGAGAGGAATGCTTCGCTCAATTATCTTTAGCCTTTCTTTCCTAACATAATTAAGGTTGTAAAGGTTCCACTAATTATGGCTTTATTTTTTTGTTTTTATAGATATTCTTTTTATAATAAATTAATTTTAAATATATTCTAATTTCCATTATGGTTTTTCTGGACTCATATATTTCATAAATTCCAAATACATGGGGTTTTTCTAGCTGGCTTTGCTTATTTTTTTATAGAATAATACAACTACAGCCAAAGAACATAATTTATATGATTTCATCTTTTAAAAATTCTTGAAATTGCTCTGTCATCAGACATATGGTCAGTTGGCTTGGCATATAACTCATATGTAATTTAAAAGCTATTTTCCTTCAGTTTTGGGGTGCAGTATTTTATAAAGGCCAATTCAATTGAGTTATTGGTTAGATTTAACAAATCTCCTATATGCTTATAAATTTTTTAATCTATATGTGCTGTCTAAACTGCCACAGTTGCATTAACTCTCTCACTGTGATTTTGGATTTATCAATTTTCTGTTTTATTTATTTTAATTTACTTCTATACACTATAAGGCTATATTATCGGGTACATTAATTAGACATATTTGTCGCCCCATCTCTATTCTCTTTACCCACCATTTTTGTCTGTTTTCTCCCTGTGGCGATGTAGCCTGGCAGTACCTTGTCTGTCTACATGACAGATCTTTTAATTTCCACTACTAGGCTTCTCTTTATGCCACCAAATAGCTTATCTCTAGCAGCTCTTAAGCCATTCTGGTGCATAGGAAAACTTGAAAGTAAATAAAGTTAAAATCTCAGAGTAATCTTTTGACAAAAGGTCACAAGAGGAAATTTTCACATATCAAAGACTATTACTAACTAGTTTTTTCTTCCTGGACAGAGCAATGATTTTAATATAGTGTAATTTCATTAACTCCATCACACCTTATATATAATTTCTCATGTATTTTAATTTTCTATGTATATGTATATATTATATGTAATGTAAATTTCCTCCAAATTTTAACCTATCTACATTTATATCTATAGACCCATGATATATAGATATAAAGCAATTCCACTAAAAATCCCAAACTTTTTTGGTGAAACTTGACAAGCTGATCTGAATTTATTTGCACATGTAAGATGCCAAGAATAGCCAAGCAATTCTTGCAAAAGCATATGTTGGGAGAACTCAAACTGTAGCAATTAAAACATTATGTTATAGGTGCAAAAGTAGATAAATAGCAAGCAAACTGATGGAAGAGAGTGGAGAGCCCTGAAAAAGATCTGTACGTAATAGCAAGCAGAAGGCACACGGCAGATCACTGGGGGTGGAAGTGGGGGTGAAGACAGGGGGAGTAGCCTTTTAGGATTATTAGGGTTATTATTAATGAATTATTTTTGAGATAAAAATTGTATATCTTCTTACACCAGGTACATAACCGAACTTTTTCATGTGTATTAGAAAATAAAATGTGAAAAGAAACACTATACAACTCTTACATGAGTATACAAAATGTGCTGATTCATTAACAGTAACAGTAATTTAGCAGGTAGATTAGGAGTAATAAAATATACTTTTTTCTGCTGAGTGACATAGAGCAAAATGTTCCTGTGGTATTCATGGGATGGAATCATAAAGTCCAGTCCATAAAATGTTAAATCTCTATAATCTGAAAAGCAATAAAACTGACTATTTTTATTTGCACCTTTAGGGACGTAGAAGCAAACATATATCCACTGAAAAGCATGTTAACTTCATCAAAGCTGTAGGCTATTCCCTGGAGGAGAATAAATCTTGTGAGGAAACAAAACAAAGAATCCATTAGTAATACCCAGAAATTTAGAATGTGGAAATATAAAAGATAAATTTGGTAGCAGTGACCATTAAAAAGCAATTATTTTAAATTTATAGTACTTTCCTGTAATATATATGTTTCTCATTTGAAATAGTAAGTAATATATTCTCTATATTAATTAATAATGGTTGCTGTGAGTTGATGAAAATTGTTTCAAAGAATATGTGATCATTTATTAAATTGTTTTAAGTTAGGCAGTTATTTGCTATGAGAAGGAAAAGACTTTTAATGAATCCTAATTAAGGTGGAACATTCATAAAATAAACATAATTAAAATGTTCTGGAATTTCAAAATTGTAAAATTGTTTTCTAAACGACAGGAATAGAGTCAGGCCTGCATTTGAATCTTAGCTTTATCTTTCATAACTTCTATGAATTCAAGCAAATTGCTTAACTTTTGGGAGCATCAGTTTTTCCACATGTAAAAAAAGAGGCTACATGTCTCTAAGAGTTTATCTAAGAATTAACCCAGATAATATGTGTGAAGAAATTAACACAGTGGTTGGTACAGTTAAAAATTCATAGCACATGCTCTGTAAAGTTTTTTGTCTTTATTTCGGCTGTGCACAAAATTGATTACCCTAACACAACAAAATTTCCAGGCCTATGAGCAGAGCCAACCAAATCAAAAGAGTAAAAATTTTTAGAAAGAGGCATTGAGAAATGACAATCTTACCTTTTTAGTTTTTTGAAATTAGGCTAAAACATCCACTCTATAATCAGGAAGTATAATATTAGCTCTAAGTTTTTAATAGACGGCCATATCAGACTGAAAATTATCCCACTGTTGCTGGTGGTTCACTCAGAGATTTTATCATAAATTTGTTTTTCATGAAAAATAAAATTCTTTTTTCAGAAGATTTTTTCAACATCTATTGAGATGATCATAAGACTTCTTTATTAATATGATGCATAACATTTAGCGATTTTCAGAAGTTAAAATAACTACATTCCAAGGATAAACTCCACTTGGTTATGATGCGTTATTCTTTTTGTATATTGCTAAATTCAATTTGTTAATATTTTGATAAGGAACCAAATCTACCTTTATGAGGAATATTGGTCTGTAGATTATTTGTTGTTGTTTTACTTTGTGTCTTTTGATGACTTTGGCTTTACTATCAGCATAATGCCAGACTCATAAAATGAGAAATATTCTTCCCTCCTGTATTTTCTCAAATATTTTTTAGACCTCATATCATTTCTTCCTTAAATGTTTGACAGTATTCACTACTGAATCCACTTGGGCTTTAACTTTTCTTGTGAGAAATTTAAACTAGTAATTCAACTTCTTTACTTGATTTAGATTTGTTGAGATTTCTCCTACTTCTTGGGTTAGTTTTAGTGGTTTGTAATTTTTTTTTTTTTTTTTTTTTGAGAAAGAGTCTCACTCTGTCGCCCAGGCTGGAGTACAATGACGCAATCTCTGCTCACTGCAACCTCTGCCTTCTGGATCCAAGACAGTCTCCTGCCTCAGCCTCCCGAGTAGCTGGGATTACAGACGCCCACCACCACCCTTGGCTAATTTTTGTATTTTTAGTAGAGACGGGGTTTCACCATGTTGGCCAGGCTGGTCTCGAACTCCTGACCTCAGGTGATCCACCTGCCTCGGCCTCCCAAAGTGCTGGGATTACAGGCGTGACACACCATGCCCGGCCGTGATTTGTATTTTTTTAGAGAATTGATCCACTTCACCCATCATCAAGTTTATTGACATATTCATAGATTTTTCCTTTATTATTCTTTTAATGCTTACTATATCTGTAAAGGTGGTCCCTCTCTCAATCTTGATATTAGTAGTTTGTGTATTCTCTCTTTTTTTCTTGATCAGTTTAGGCAAAATTTTATCAATATTTTTGTTCTTTGGAAAGAGCCAGGTCTTGACTTGACTGTTTGTTTACATGTTATCTATGACTGCACATTACAACAGCAGGGTTTAGTGGTTGTGACAGAGACCATATGGTCTGTAAAGCTTCAAATATTTACTGACCAAAACAGTGAGCTGACCTCTGACCTACATCATTATTGATGTCCACTATGATATTTATTATTTCCTATTTTCTATGTGCCTTAGATTTAATTTGCTCTTTTTTTTAGTTCATTATGGTTGAAACATAGAGCACTGATTTGAGTTTACTTATTTCTAATACAATAATTTAATGCTATACATTTCTCTCTAGGCATTGTTTTATTTGCATCTCACATATTTTGATATATTGTGATTTCATTTTTTACATTACTTTTTTACATTTTTTACATTAATTGAGTGTACTTTCTAATTTCCTTTATGATTTAAAGTGTGAATCAGACAATGTAGTGTTTCATTTCCACACATTTAGAGATTTTCCAGATTTCTTTCTGTTGTTGATTTCTAATTTAAGCCTGTTGGAGTTTCAGAACATACTCTGAATTATTTCAATTATTTTAAATTGATTAAGACTTGTTTTATGGCCAAGCATATTATCCATGTTGGTGAATGATTCAGGTGCACTTGAAAAGAATGTATATTTTTGTTCAGTGTTGTGCTCTTCACGTTTAAGTTAGGCTAAATTGGTTAATGTTGTTTAGGTCTTCCATATATTCTCTATTTTGTTTACTTATTCTGTTACTTAGAGAAAAATAGTGAAAACTACAGCTAGTTTTGATTTATGTATTTCTCCTTTTAATTCTGTATTTAATTTCTTGCAGCTCTGGTTTTCATTGTGTATACATTTGTAATTGATATATCTTCCTGTTATACTGTTTTATAATTTTGAAATGTCCCTATTTTTTCATCTTAGAGTATATTTTAGCTGATATTAATTTAGCAACTTCACCTATCTTATGTTAATTGCTTGCATATCATGTATTTTTTTATCCTTTAACCTCAAACGTTTTGATTTTTTGAACCTAAAGTAGATCTCTCTTTAGACAGCAAGTAATTGAGTCTTATTTTTAATACAATTAACAATCTCTGCCTTTTGATAGATTATTTACTCATTCACATTTAATATTACTGCCCGTATAATGGCATATTAGGTCTGCCATTTTGCTGTTTGCTTTTATTTGTCTCTCTTTTTTGTTTGTTCTCAGTTCCTCTTTTATTGACATCTTTTGTGTTAAATATTTTATAGTACACCATTTTATTTTCTTTATTGACTAGCTTATTTCTGTGCATTACTTTCTAGTGATTTTCTAGGAATCACAATATTTATCTTTAACCCACCACAATATATTTCAAGTTAATACTTATTTACCTTGGTTATAGAAACTTTGCACAAAAATAGTGGCATCCTACCCTCCCGTGTAATAGTATTGTCATATGTAGTGCATCTGTATATGTTGCAAACTAACAATGTGGTGTAATAAAAGTTGTTTTCAAATAGTCTTTCTCTTAAAAAATTAAGAAAAGAGAAGGAAAAAGTATATATAATACATAACCATAGTACTTATAGTATATTCGTATAATCTTGTATTTACCAAAATATTTACCGTTTCTGATGTCTATTATCTTTTCTGTGGATTTATAGCATCATTTTGTGTCATTTGTCTTTGACCTAATGAAATTTCTTTAGCCTTTGTTCTAGTCCAGGGCTGTTACCAATGAATTTTCATAGTTTTTATTTAAAATTGCCTTTGGTTTGCTTTTATTTTTGAAGGATAGTTTCACTGGATATAGAAACCTTGACTGACAGTTTAGATTTCTCTCTGGTTTCTCGTAATTTGTGATTCAAAACTGTATGTTTTAAGTAATGTGTTTAATGGCTCTAAATTCATTTATTTCTGTTTTTATAATGATTGTTTTTTCTTATTGCTGCTTTAGTATGCAATTCATTTGCATGGACTCAAACTATGGCATTTCTCCCCCATATAAAGTAGAGCTGTTGCTATTTCTACATAGCGTTTTCTTTGTTTTGCTTTCGAATGTATATATATATATTTGTTTTTCACATATATATTTGTTTTTTATTTATATTTGTATATACACACTTTGGCCTGGCTCTCTAGGGAGTTTTTCCTGAACCTGTGTATTTCAGTAGTCAGTCACTTGATTTGCAAAGATTATTCTGACAACTGAAGCCCTCTGCTCTTTGTGTAGATTGAATAGTACACTATAGTTATAGCAAAATTGCAGGTCTCCTTAAGGCGTTCCATTTTTGCTAGGCTCCCTAACATAGTTCAGCAGTCTGAAAGGATATGTGGATGGTAACCCACTAACTCCGTATGGTTCTTTCACTTCCAAAAATGTCCTCAGCAAAAGTTATAAACATTGTTCTTATCTAATGCTCTAGCAGTTCTCCGCGAGTAAACATTTTTCAAGTTGTTGCCAACTTTTGTGTGTCTCCCTGAAAAGTTGATGTTAATAATTTTGTTTTATTTTACACTTGTTTTCTTTGGAAGAGAATATCCTCCTCATGGTGCCTTTACTGTAAAGAATCCCACACTTTACATTTTTAATTTCTGTTATTGCATGAATTAAATATATAGTTTTCAAAGTTTTAAGTATATAAATTCAATTCTCTGATGAAATTCTGCATATTGTCAACATTTTTATGTACATGAATAGTAGCATTTTCATGTCCACAGTGATAACTCCAATAATTGGATCATATATTAGATCTATGTGTCTATTTTCTATTTTTTTCTTGGTCCCTTTTTTTGACATGCTACGTATTTTGTATAAAAAATTTTAAGGATTTGGAGAAGTTAATTCCTATGATAGGCCAAGGCAGGGGAATCACCTTAATCAAATTAGGGACTGACAAAAACTGCTGAATTGCAGCTTTTATAAAGCCCTACTTACTCTGTTTCTAGAAAGAGGACCTCTAATTTCTAATCCTGTAAAACTTAGTATGGCCTCTCTTTTTTGTATGTCCTGGACCCCAGTCTTGGGGTTCTCAAGGAAAACTGCTAGAAAATCTATACCGATTTTTCAAAGGCTTTTCATCTAGCTGAAGTGCAGAATTTTTGAGTTTCAGTATATAGGTGCTTTGCACTTAATTTTAGGATGAAGACTTCACAGATCACAATGGGGAACTTGTAAAATTTACTGTGATCCCACTTTCTTGTAGGTCCTGAACTGCAACTTTTGTTTGCTTGACATTCGGATACTGCTAAAATTCTACTCTGGTTTTCAACAGTTTTCCATCTCTCTTCTTAGTCTTTTGGCCTTCGCAGTTTAAAAAATGTAACAACTGCCTCAAGCTAAAACTATTAGAGTGTTAGGCTTGCTTCTTTGCTCCTCCCTACTTTCTAAGAACTTGGATCTTCAAGAACTTACTTTTATGAACAGTCTCAAACTTGAAATTTCAAATCTCTAGCCATGGAGGACTTCCAGATATCTTTGTCTCCTGGTCCAAGCCATCTGCTTGATTTGCAGCCTCTTGTATCAAAGCAAAAACTGTCAAACTTTTCTAAGGAAAGATGCTTAAAGACTGCTATCTCATCTTTCTGTAGTTCCCTTCTCTTAGGAATCTTGAATCCTCAAATCCTGGTTGCCTCAGGGACTCACTAATCATCAAACAGATTCTTTTTTACAACTTATTTGTTTCATTTTGCATTGTTTTTCTGTGAGTCTTTTCCAAATTCAAGTTATTCCATTATCTCAAAGTGGAAGCAGTAAACATGTATTAATTACTGGTAGTGTAAGACGCCTTTCGTTGTTTCTTGGCAGAATTGTTTTGACTAGTCTTGCATTTAGTCTATTTTTGTGAATTCTAAAATCAGTCTATCAAGTTTCTTAAAAAAAAAACTCCCACATGTTTATTAGTTGATTTATTTTGATTATTGGTAAGTTTAAGATTCATCTTTATAAATATTGAGACTCAGACCTCTCATTTATGAATACATTATGAAATTATTCATATTTTCTTCAATGTTTGTATCAATAGGTCTTCAATGTGATCCTTTTCTATAGAAAAAACCATAATTATTTATGTCATATAGAAAATATAATATTGATTTTGTATGTTAATCTTTTATGTGACCATCTGACGGAACTTCTATTGTTTCTAATAGTTTCCCTTTAACTTTTTTGGAATTTATAGACAATCATACTCTAAGAAAAAAAAAGGAAGAGAGATATATTAGGCCAAAAATACATATTTTTCCTCTTTATTTTCGAATTTTATAACTCCTATTCATTTGTCTTATTGTATCACTTTAACTAGGACAATAGCAAAAGTAGTAACAATGGTGAGCATTGTTGAATTTAATGGAATATATCTAATTTTTGCTAGTTTGACGATTGCTATAATTTTTCATTGGTTATCTATTATCAGGGTAACAAAGTTCTGTTTTATTCCAAGCATTCTAGAGTTTCCTATCAAAAAACAGGCAGTGGTACTTCTTAAATACTCATTTGAATTTATCATCTTTCATCTAAGTGCTTGAAATTATATTATTCTATTTGTCATTGCAGATATAGGAAATATTACAGATTTTCTAAAGTCGAATCATCATTACATTCTTAAACTTATTTAGTTAAATTATTAATTTAATACACTACTTGTTTTCGTGAATATCTTATTTATAATTTTTTAACCTATGTTTTTAAGAGAAACTGGCCAATAATGATTCCTTCTTGTATTATCTCTGTCTCCACTTTTATAAGAGGGTTATAACAACCTGTGAAAGTAGATAGGTACTACTGCCCATTTTCTGTACTTTGAACAACTTGCATACAGCAAAAATTTATATTTTAATTTTAGGAATATTTTATTGCCCCATTTTAAATGTTTGCTCTTGCATCCTACTTGCATTACATGTATGTTAATGCCGTAATTTTATTTTTGTTTATACTAGTTTTGAACATTTATAACCTAACAATTATATTAACACTCTTCTAGTTTTCCTAAGGAGCACGTAGTATTATTTAATCCAATCTGAACTCATTTGAGATGATTAAATTCAGCTTCTTCCCATGTATTGTGATAATTTATACACTTGGATTTCTACTCTTCTTACTTAATGTCTATTATTTAATATACTTTGTTGTACAAATATGTTTATACCCATCTCTTACATTGCAAAATTGTTCCATTTCAATTTATTCATTTCCCACTTTTCCAATCACAGTAATTTGCATATTCTACTGTGTTCGAATATATTTGCATTCCTATCAATCCCATTTAATGTTAAATTTCCTTTTTATATATATGTAGAAATAACATTAATGATTATCCATATTTTATTTTTCTACTTATTTACTGGCATCAATAAATATGCAAATTTTAATTTGCTTTTATCTTGCCACTCTGCAAACATTTCACTCATCTTTCCCATTATATGAACTACTTGGCATCTTTTGAAATAATAATATAGGTTTTATTTCTTGTATGTTATTACATCATCCCATTCAACAAAAGTCTTCTGTCTAATAATCTTTATTTAACACATTCTAAAATTTCATATCACACTATCAAAAGAACAAGAAATAACCATATGTTTAGTAATACGGGGGATACAACATTTTGTCAACAACAGTTTTACTGGAATGAAGGGAAATAAAGAATTAGGTGCAGGAAGTAGACAGAGCTATTATACATAACTCTGTCATCAAATTTTGCCTTGGATAAGAGCAAAAATAAAAACAACAGCAACAAAATCAGACATGAGCTCAGGGATGGAAAATAGGCAGTGGCAAGTTTTTCCTAAAGATGGATGACACCTTAGCAAGTGTTTATTCAAATCATCCAAAAGAGAATGCAAAGTAGATGAAAGAAAAGAAAACATGAGAGGCAAGTCCTTGAGTTAGCAAGAGGGAAGACATCACTGGTCACATGGGAAGTTTGCCTTTGAGGAGAATAAGGGCAGTCATTCTCTTAGCTATGTGCAAAGAAAGTAGTGGATGGGCAGCTTGAGAGACTTACACATCTGGTACTGACTGAAATAAGTAAGCATGAGAGGCACGATGGGATTTTCCTAGAGCTGCATTGTCCAATATGGTAAGCATTTGCCGCATGTGGGGTTTAATTACAAATTAATATTAAATAAAATTAGAAATTCAGTTCCTCAGCACACTATCCATCTCTCACATGCTCAGTAGCCACATGTGGCTAGTGGTTACCCTAGTGGGCAACATATTCTCCATCAATGAAGCAAGTTCTACTGGGCAGCCTTGGCCTACATTGCCTCATGAAGCAATAGGCATACAATTCAGTATTAACTATTAATGTAAATCTGGCAGGTCAGGGGATCCCTGGAGGCTCTTCTCTTCCTGCCAAAGTTCAGATGGGTTGGAGAAATAATCTCATTGTAAAGGGCTGACTGAAGAGCTCTGTATTACGCCATTCCTGTACTGCTGTAAAGAATTACCTGAGACTGGGTAATTTATAAGAAAGTAAGTTTAATTGCCTTGTGATTCGGCAGGCTATACAGGAAGCATCGTGGTATCTGCTTCTGAGGAGGCCTCAGGAAGCTTCCAATCGTGGCAGAAGGTGAAGGGTGAGGAAGGACATCACAGGGTGAAGGCAGGAGCA
Source organism: Homo sapiens (assembly GCF_000001405.40). Classification (NCBI taxonomy): domain Eukaryota; kingdom Metazoa; phylum Chordata; class Mammalia; order Primates; family Hominidae; genus Homo; species Homo sapiens. Next base: position 81,146,361 of record NC_000010.11, on the reverse strand, counting down.
AGAGAGAGAGGCTTTAAGTGAGATCTCGCTCTGAGTTCACAGGAGATCTCGTCCTTTAAAAGTGTATGGACAAGATCGTCTGTGAACTCAGGGTGAGATCTCATCACCAAGAGGATGGCTCAAGCCACTCAGGAGGGATCTGCCCCGATGACCCAAACGCCTGGCACCAGGCCCCACCGCCAACATTGGGGATTACATTTCAACATGAGACTTGGACAGGGACACACATCCAAATTGTTAACAGTCTCCTTTAGCTAAACTCCTGTGTAGCCGCGGAACTGGCAGCCTGCTATGACTTCTTTTCCAACTTTGCTAGGTAATAAATAACAAGTTACCCTCTTGCTGCTTTAATTTGCATTTCTTCAATAACTAATGAGAATAAACTTTTTTGTTAGTTTGTTTCAACTCTAGGTAGTATTTCATTTTTGTACAAATTTTACATTTCAAAGCATATTTTGCTTAAGGACATAAAATCTTATTTTTTATTGGGATTAGGATTTTAAAACTGTGTTTGTTATGCTAAAAATGCCTTCTCCCAGCTTCTCGTTTTCCTTCTATGTATGCATTAGCCAAGACATGTTTTAATGTTTAGGTATTTCAGTGTGTTTTTTTCTTTTGTAGTTTTGGTCTTTGGTATGAGACTTTACCATCCTCAAATGAAATAAACTATCATTTTTCTGGCATATCTTTTTTAATTTAAATCTTTAATATGTACATATGCACACAGAAACACATCTGCACTTACACACACATGGAATTATTTGGTGTAAATTATGAGATAGAATGTAACTTTGGTATTTTTAAAATATAAACTGGCTGTCATCTTAACATAATTTCTTAAATATTTACTAAGTAATTCTTCCATTCTGTTTTAAATATATGTTCAAAACAGATTAAATGAGATGCTAGTTAATATAAGGAATATAAATGACAAATATATAAAATATACATAAGAAAGATATAGATATACACAAGAAAAATATACAGAAGAAACACCCTTCTGTATATTTCTTATATAAACTAGAATATAAGTCCAGATGTTCTTAATAAATCCACTAAGATATGATTTTTGGAATCACTCTCATAACTATTTGAATAACTGTACTTTTTAAATGCTCTGTAATATGTGTCAGTCTTAGTGTACTTTCATTCTATTTTATAATTTTCTTTATTTTTTTTTTTGAAAAGCAACCATTTATTAGAACCAATACAAGAGTATGAAAAGAGGGAAAATAGGAGGGTAGAAGAGGGGGAGAGAATGAGGTCTGCATCAGATATCAGTTATGGAAACACATAAATGCTTACTTTTTAAACATTTACATTTAAAAGGTGAACATATATATAGACCACTTATGCTTTTATTTAAAAATCAAAGGCAGACACATTTGTCTGAAATAAAACCAAGAAACACAACCAAAACTCCCCCATAAACCTGAAAGTCCACAGAGAATTCAGTTTCTCATTTCCATTCAGAAATCTGGCTACAAAGTGATTTGTCTGCTACTCGGGATGGTACAGAGTGCTGAAAGAAATCCAGCTCTTGAGTCTCTTAGATCCCATCCTGTAGGAAGTGGTGGGAAAGCCAGCGGACCATGGGCAAGTAAACTACTGGCTACTTGGCAGGACGTCAGACTGTGGTCTCTCCATTCCCCAGGACTCCTCAGAACCGTCTGGTACTGCCAGTGCTGGGTGAACAGTGAGAACAGAGTCCACAAAACACAGAGAACCAGAATGTGACTGCAAGGAGCCAGGACCTTGTGCTTTTTCATGGATTACAATTCTAGGGCCAAGGAGAGAGAAAGGAGAAAGAGCTGTATTGGGAAGAGAAGCTGGCTGTGCCTCTAAACTGAGATGGAAAGAGTAAGGCTCTTGAGCCCACACCTGGGCAAGTAGAAATAGTGTCCAAAGTTTTCTCAAACCAGAGGGAAAAAAGGTCAAGGTTAGGTTCAGACTGCAGACACTGAGAAAGAGATGACAGATACTGAATACAGGGAATCGGATGAAGCTTTAAGGATCAATGTCCAATTCTGAGTGTTATACACACTTCTAGGAAAAATAATTCCAAGGTAGCTTTTTGAGGGGGGTGGAAACAAGGTGGTCACATTTATTCAATCAGCTGGTCCCTATGAGGAAGGAGAGGGTACAGATACCACAAAAGGGTACAGTCACCCAGCTGTCCTGGGATCAGTTTGGGGAGTGGTAAGAAATGACATAAATCAAAACCATTGAAGGTTGCTTTGATCCTGAGACAGTCTGAGTCTGCTTCAAACCCATGGAGAATGGAACTTTAATCCCCAACCTGCAGAGAGAAATAAGCAGTAGCATCCCTGCCTCACGATTCCCTAATCCAATGTTCTTGAATCTGAAATGGCCTCCCTCTGTGATTGCAAGACATAGAAAATCTTAAATGCCTTCCCCAACAACATCCTAATTAAGTCTGGACTAGTAAGATGCCAATATTCATGAAAACACTGTCAACATCTGAACTAGCAGCTTTGATGAGGGGTGGGGGGCAGAGAATTTGCCGAGTCACTAAGTAGTTCCAGTCTTGGAGACAGCTCAGTGAGGACCAAAGCCTGTGTGTCAGGCTTAAACTCCAGCTCAAGGCATCCTCCATAGAGGACCCTAAAATATTCTATTAACTTGATTCACAGTGCCTCACAACAACACCCCTGTGAGGTAGGTCAGTATTATTACCCCCATTTGACAGATGGGGAACTGAGGCATTGAAAGAAGTGACTTGCCCAAGGTCAGCCATTATCAATCAATTGAGGAGGTGGGCACACAGAGTCAGCATCCACTCAATTCTTGTTCCATTTCCCAGAGCATTTTACTTCTCAGAGTGCACTTGGGAGCAGACGAAAGTTGGTAGGTACACCTCACTCTGCAAACTAGATTAATTCAATCAACCCAAGATTATTAACTGAGCGCCTATTATTTATCTAGTATAATGTGAGGAATCTTGGAAAAATGAACTGCTTCTGAAAGCCATATTATGGATGTTTTGAAAATAAAATTACATCTTTAACAGTAAGGACATGAATTCTTCTGTAAAGAAATCTTCACTTTATATTAGAAGGTGAAGGACTAAGTCACACTGATTTCTCAAAGTTTTATATTGAGTAACCTGAATTCCTAAAATCCAGAAAGTAAGACCACATTCCAACAGAAACAATGAATAAGAACCATTTCCCCAATGGTGGTTCTTGGTAGTGCTCTTAAAAAGCTGCAAGGTTGGTGGAAGAAAAACTTTAGAGTGGTTTTATTATCTCCCAAAAAGCATTATTTTTATTGAAATTATTGTAAAATTATAGATTAACTTGTGAAATACTGGCTTTTGAGTAATATTGTGTGACTCTTTCTAGTAAAAGCATAAATATTCAGTTGAATATTTTTAATAACCCAAAATACAATTTTTGTTGATTTCTTCATCTATCATTATTATGTTAATTTTATTTCTATTTATATTTTCTATTTTATGATTTAGATCCTTCTTTTATTTTTCAAACAGATAATATTATATGGGAAACATATATTCATTATATTTAATTTAATCCTTTAATCAGTTCCAATTTAAAAATAAATAATTTTTAATTATACCAAAATTGTATGGATGCAATTTATGTAAAATCTTTAAAATATTATAGGTGAAGTTAAACTCCTAAAACATTATAGATGAAGCTAGAGTCCTTCCTGGCTACCAACCACTGTCCCAGAATATGTCCAGAGGTGAAAATACAATTGTCTGTAGTTTTTCCTTACTAAATACATGAAGTGTATGCTTTTCTAGATATCTAGTTATTTCTCCAGCTGATGCAGTATTGTAAAATGGCAATTAAACAATAACTATCAAATAAAGTGAGTGATATTAAAAAGTAAAGCACTCCCTTAAAAGGGATAGGTCCATTCTGTTTTCCGGATGAGTTATTTAACACTTTTAATGCTGTTTATAATTGGAAGGCCATATTAAAATAAGAAACTTTACAAAGAATATTACAAGGTTAACATATGACTGGTAAAGATAGCATGAAAAAAGAAAACTACAAATATACACCTTATAAACACAGAGGCAAAATTTTAAAAATATATTACTAAATAGAATCCATTTCAAGGATGCAAAAATGGATCAAAGTTAGAAATAATTGCAATAAACTTTAATAGATGATAGCAAACATTTAAAAGAGGAAAACATTTTATCACCAAGAAAAATTCCAAAATAATGATATTTAGATATTATGTTTACTTTAAGCAAACATGCAGAGACAAATACTCTCTCAGAAAAAAGAAAGAAGGAAAGATACATTGATTGCTAGGAAGAAAAAAAAAAGAGGGATGGAAGGAAGGAAGGAAGGGAGGGAGGGAGGGAGAGAAAGAAGGAAGAAGATGGGAGGGAGGGAAGGAGGGGCAAGGGACAAAAATTAAATTGAAACAGTGATGTCTTAGTCAAAGACCTTTTGGTGGTAAGGTACAAAAATTCACATTAATTATTTAAATAACAGCCTAGAGAAAATAAGTTACCACTATAAATATGCAGCAGCAACAAATGCAGACAAATGGCAAGGAGTTGCACCTAACAAGAGACTGAAACCATAAAACATATATGTTCAGAAACCAAGTCTCCCTCTCTCTCTCTTTGAAGATTGTGCTCTTCTCAGAATGAGCTTCAGAGTGGAGACAATGTCTAAATAGTTTCTGGGCCAGGCACAATGACTCATGCCTATAATCCCAGCACTTTGGGAGGCCAAGGTGAGTGGATTACTTGAGCCCAGGAGTTCAAGAGGAGCCTGGTCAACAGGCGAAACCCCGTCTCTACTAAAAGCACAAAAATTACCTGGGTGTGGTGGTGTACACCTGTGGTTCCAGCTACTCGGGAGGCTGAGGTGGGAGGATCATTTAAGCCTGGGAGGAGGAGGTTGCCTCATTCGCCACTGCAGTCCAGCCTGGGCAACAGAGCAAAACTCTGTCACTAAATAAATAAATAAATAAATAAATAAACATCCTGAGATTTTGCTGAAGTTGTCAGCTTAAAAAGCTTTTGGGCTGAGACAATGGGGTTTTCTAGATATAGGATTATGTCATCTGCAAACAAAGATGACGTGACTTCCTCTCTTCCTATTTGAATACCCTTTAATTCTTTCTCCTGCCTGACTGCCCTGGCCAGAACTTCCAATATTATGTTGAATAGGAGTGGTGAGAGAGGGCATCCTTGTCTTGTGCCATTTTTCAGGGTGAATGCTTCCAGCTTTTGCCCATTCATTATGATATTGGCTGTGGGTTTTTCATATATGGCTCTTATTATTTTAGGTATGTTCCTTCAATATCTAGTTTATTGAGAGTTTTTAACATGGCGGGATGTTCAATTTTATCGAAGGCCTTTTCTGCATCTATTGAGATAACCATGATTCTTTAGTTATCTTTATGTGATGAATTATATTTATTGATTTGCATATGTTGAACCAACCTTGCATCCCAGGGATGAAGCCAACTTGATCACGGTGGATAAGCTTTTTGATGTGCTGCTGGATTTGGTTGGCCGGTATTTTATTGAGGATTTTTGCATTGATGTTCATCAAGTATATTGGCCTGAAGTGTTCTTTTTTTGTTGTATCTCTGCCAGGTTTTAGTATTAGGATGATGCTGGCCTCATAAAATGAGTTACGGAGGAGTCCTTTGTCAATTGTTCGGAATAGTTTCAATAAAAATGGTACCAGCTCTTCTGTGTACCTCTGGTAGAATTCAGCTATAATTCCATCTGGTCCTAGCTTTTTTTTTTTTAATTTATTACTGCCTCAGTTTCAGAACTTGTTATTGATCTATTCAGGGATTCAATTTTTTCCTTGTTCAGTCTTGGGAGGGTGTATGTGTCCAGGAATTTATCCATTTATTATAGATTGGTTAGTTTATGTGCATAGAGGTATTTATACTATTCTCTGACAGTTGTTTGTATTTCTTTGCGGTCAGTGGTGATATCCCCCTTATTGAAACGGGAAAGGTTCCCATGTCCCCCTCACAGGGTGTGCAGCAGGGGGAGTGGCTCGCTTCTTCGGTGCCCCACTGCTCAGACCTCTAGGGAAGCATACAGATGGGCAGCTTGTGGGGCTGAGACCCCACGGTAGTGTCTAGGAGTGGATGTTTACAGCTCCTGAAGCCCCAGTGGGCGTGTGCTACCATGTGCTCTTTCAGTTTGCCATCTATAGGCGGCTTGTGTTAACCAGCTTAATTAGACCCTCTACCTTGTTGAAAGGACAGAGGGCTTTCTGTATTCTGGGTTCTTGTCTTGGTGTACGGGAAGAATTGGCTAACACCTGGACTTGGAGAATGAGTGCAAAGTTTTACTGAGTGGAAGTAGCTTTCAGCAGATGGGGGAGCCAGAAGGGAGATGGTTTTCCCCTGGAGTCAGGCCACTGAGTGACCCAAGGCTCTCCTTCAACCTCCCTGGCCAAACTCCACGTTGTTCCACCAGTCGATGGCCTGCTGGGGTGCCGGTGTCTGTCGTTGTGCTGCCCATGTCCTCTCAACGTCCAGCCAGTTGTATCTTCTTCCACCAATCTGCTCCTCTCGATGTCCAGCCTCTTGTGTGTCTGCCCTGCCTGCTAGGTTCTGGGTTTTTTATAGGCCCAGAATGGGGGTGTGGTGGGCCAGGGTGGTCTTGGAAAATTCAACATTTGGCAGGAGTGGCTGTCCTCACCTAGGTTTGTGGGCACAGCCCCGAAGGTGAAGCTCTAGTCAGGGACATGCCTTTCTCTGCCCAGCACTTTCCTGCCCCCCTCCCACATCATTATCATTTCTGATTGTGTCTATTTGGTTCTTCTCACTTTTCTTCTTTATTAATCTAGCTAGCAGTCTATCTATTTTATTGATTTAAAAAAGCAGCTCTTGGATTTGTTGATTTTTTGAACAGTTTTTTCATGTCTCTATCTCCTTCAGTTCTGCTCTGATCTTGGTTATCTCTTGTCTTCTGCTAGCTTTGGGGTTTGTTTGCTCTTGGTTCTCTAGTTCTTTTAGTTGTGATGTGAGGATGTGATGTGAGGATCGCTTGAGCCAAATGCCCAACAGTGCTTTAGCTGCATCCCAGGGATTCTGGTACATTGTCTCTTTGTTTTCATTAATTTCAAAGAACTTCTTAATTTCTGCCTTCATTTCATTATTTACTCAGGATAATAATTATAAACAATTTTATTATTTATTCAGTGCCAGGTCATTCCATTTCCATGTAGTTGTGTGGTTTTGAGTGAGTTTCTTAGTCTTGAGTTCTAATTTGATTGCACTGTGGTCTGAGAGATTGTTTGTTATGATTGCGGTTCTTTTGCTTTTACTAGGAGTTTTTTACTTCTGGTTGTGTGATCAATTTTAGAGTAAGTGCCATGTGGCAATGAGAAGACTGTGTATTTTGTTGTTGTTGGGTGAAGAGTTCTGTAGATATCTACCAGGTTCGCTTCACCCAAAGCTAAGTTCAGACCCTGAATATCTTTGTTAATTCTCTGTTTTGATGATCTGTCTAATACTGTCAGTGGGATGTTAAAGTCTCCTAATATTATTGTGTGGGAGTCTAAGTCTCTTTGAAGGTCTCTAAGAACTTGCTTTATGAATTTGGGTGCCCTTGTATTAGGTGCATATGTATTTATGATAGCTCTTCTTGTTGAATTGAACTCTTTACCATTATGTAATGCTCTTCTTTGCTTTTTTGATCTTTGTTGGTTTAAAGTCTGTTTTGTCAGAAACTAGGATTGTGACCCCTGCTTTTTTCTGTTTTCCATTTCTTGGTAAATTTTCCTCCATCCCTTTATTTTGAGCCTATGTGTGTCTTTCCATGTGAGATGGGTCTCTTAAAGATAGCATGCCGATGGGTCTTGGTTCTTTATCCAGCTTGCCATTCTGTGTCTTTTAATTGGGACATTTAGCCCATTTACATTTAAGGTTAGTAGTTATGTGTGGCATATAACCAAAGGAATATAAATCATTCCATTATAAAGATACATGTGTATGTATGTTCATTGCAGTATTATTCACAATAGCAAAGACATGGAATCAATCCAAATGTCTCGACTCTACAAAAAATACAAAAGTTACCTGGGCACAGTGCCTCATGCCTGTGTTCCAGCTACTCAGGAGACTGAGGAGGGAGGATCGCTTGAGCCAAATGTCCATCAATGATATTGATGATTGGATAAGGAAATGATTGGATAAAGAAAATGTGGTACATATGCACCATGGAATACTATGCAGCCATAAAAAGGAACAAGACCATGTCCTTTGCAGGGACATGGATGGAGCTGGAAGCCATTATACTCAGCAGACTAATGCAGAAACAGAAAACCAAACACCACATGTTCTCACTTATAAGTGGGAGCTGAACAGTGAGAACACATGAACTCATGTGGGAGGGAACAATACATGCAGGGGCCTGTTGGGGGAGAGGGGGAAGAGAGAGAGCATCAGGAAGAATAGCTAATGGATGCTGGGCTTAATACCTGGGTGATGGGTTGATCCGTGTAGCAAACTGCCATGGCACATGTTTACCCAGATAGTAAACCTGCACATCCTACACATGTACCTGGAACTTAAAATAAAAGTTGAAGAAGATTCAGCCAGGTGCGGTGGCTCATGCCTGTAATCCCAGCACTTCGGGAGGCTGAGGCAGGCGGATCACGAGGTCAGGAGATCAAGAACATCCTGGCTAACACGGTGAAACCCCGTCTCTCCTAAAAATACAAAAAAATTAGCTGGGCATGGTGGCACTCGCCTGTAGTCCCAGCTACTCGGGAGGCTGAGGCAGGAGAATGGCATGAACCTGGGAGGTGGAGGTTGCAGTGAATGGAGATCACGCCACTGCACCCCAGCCTGGGCGACAGAACAAGACTCCGTCTCAAAAAAAAAAAAAAAAGTTGAAAAAGATTCACAGAAATGAGTTTGTGGTGCCAAAGAAAAGTAACTAGAGCAGTGCAGCAGCAGCCAGATTCTGAGATGTTTGGCCATTCCACCAAACCCGAACCTTCTCTGCCTCTTTCCCAGAAAATCAGATCAAAATGTGGAAAAGTGGATTTGAAAGCTATGGCAGCTCCTTGTACTGGGGATCCAGCAGCTACATGCAGTCCCCAGGGGCCTTTGGATTGCTGACACCTTCTCAGGTGTCGAGCCCAGCACATTGTACCCTGTACTATATCTAAGCTGCTTTCTGCCACTTTGATTGACGAAGTGTTTAAAATTGGGAATGTTGAGATTTCACAGGTCACTATTGTGGGGGATCATCCAACATACAGAGAAGGCTCCAACAAATATTGTTTACAAAATAGATGACATGACAACTGCACCTGTGGATGTTCGCCAGTGGGTTGACACAGATGACACCAGCAGTGAAAACACTGTCATTCCTCCAGAAAAATATGTCATTGTGGCAGGCGATTTGAGACCTCTTCAGGACAAAAAGAGCCTGGTACCCTTTAAAATCATGCCCCTGGAGGATATGAATGAGTTCACCGTACATATTCTGGAAGTGATCAATGTACACATGATACTAAGCAAAGCTAACAGGCAGCCCTCAGCAGGGAGAGCACCTATCAGCAATCCAGGAATGAGTGAAGCAGGGAAATTTGGTGGGAATAACTTCATGCCAGCAAAGGACCTACTGTGGCCCAAAACCAGGTGTTGAATTTGATTAAGCGTTGCCCAAGACCGAAAGAATTGAACTTTCAGGATCTCAAGAACCAGCTCAACCACATGTCTGTATCCTCAATCAAGCAAGCTGTGGATTTTCTGAGCAATGAGGGGCACATCTATTCTTCTGTAGATGATTATCATTTTAAATCCACAGATGCAGAATAACGGGATCTAATTGGGTACCTGAGCTATTTTACAGCTGGACCTAGTTTCACACTCTATTGTCTCCAGCTGTGCATATGTTTGGCGAGGTGGCTTCTAGGAAGTAGGTTTCATCTATATAAGGTGTCCACTGACATCCTTTTGAAACTTACTGCTCTTCTGTTTTATTTTGTTTTGATTGAAGCTCAGGGGGAGATGGGCAATTGACAGGGGTGAAATCCAAGGTGGAATTCCTTGAAGAAGTTACAAATTAGTCTGTTACAACATCAAAATAGATGGAATTGGAGGGATGCTTCCAGTAGGGTACTTAAATAATGCTTGGGTACTTAAATAATGAAAGTACTTAAATAATGCTTAAATATTTTTTTCTTCTTAAAATGTTTCCTGCTGAAAGAAGATTAGCAGGACTAGGCCCTGGGGGCCAAGCGCTAGAGGAGAAACCCACTGGCCTCGGCCTGTTTTCATTTCCCACTTTGCTTATGTGGTGTTACTTTCAGAATTGCACTTCCCTTCACCTGCTTGTCGTGACTGCTGCTTGTCATGATGATGTGTTTCTGTGAACATGAGGTTCTAGGGTGGTGCCTCCAGGGGCAGAGGAAAGCAAGAAGTTGTACTGCATTTTGTACAAAATAAGTACATTCATATGTTTAATAAAACAGTTATATTGAAAAAAAGGTTGAAGATAAATAAATAGTTTCTGAATTCAAATCCCAAATGTATCCAGGGCCACAGAGCATGACTCCTCTAAATAAATAGATAGATAAATGAATAGTTTCTGCATTCAAATCTCAAGAAGAGAATCTGATCAACGTTGTTCAGCCCTAACTGTGGACCTATGGCTGCTAACAAACTGGGCCAGAGGCTGAGGCCCACCAAGCAGGGCCTGGGGAGAATCAGGACTTAATAAAAGATGCTAAGCAGGCACAGATGTGGAAGCAAATAAGAGCATTTTAATTAAACTCCCAAATAAAGCAAGACTTTTTTATAAATAAAATTCAAATATCTCACCAGTTTTTGCCTAGAATACTTTATCTCTAAACTTTTCATGCATATTTCAGCCCAAGAATACTTTATTTTAAATTTTGTTGCTCTTTCTTCATCTTCCATTTTCATGTTTATTTTCGTTTTGAGAAAATTAAGAGAAATTTACAGAGAACGATTTTCAAGGGCCCATCCAAGATTGACATTTTAGCATATTGATGTTCTATTCAAGTTTATTTTTTAATGAAAATAAATATTATAGATAAATATAAAATCCACTTTGTTATTTGTTCTTATCCCATTGTCTTTCTAAGAGATAAAAAGCATCATAAATTTTCTATGTATGCTTCTAGGCCTTTAAAAATTTTTTTGAACATATACAAGTATGTTTACATTGTTTGGTGTGTTTTTGAAATTTAAAAATGCTATTATATATGTGTGTGATTTACTTATATAATTTGTCATTAAATTTATATAAAGGCTATCATAGATGTATGTATCATCTGGCAGCTTATTCTTTGTTGATGTTAAGATTTAGCAATGTTGATATACAGAGATCTAGATTATTTCTTGTGCCTATATCACATTTCATTTTTCATCTTCCTAATGATGGACATTCAGATGTTTCCATTTTTTTCTATTACAAATGATATCATATGGTATATATTTTTATAGACTTCCTTGCATATGACATGCTTTCATTAAGTTACTATAGCAGACATTGTTTGTACACTATCCTTATTCTGTCTGTCTTCCCTGTTGTACTCTGAAGACTGACTTCTGTGAACACCTGCTGGCTGCAGGCAGCCTGAGAACACTTCCCTGGCTGGACACATGCTCAGAGCAAGCTGAAAGTGCACAAGAATTAATGCTCCCAGAAATAGCCCTTAACCAGAGATGGACAGGGAATTGGAGATAAATACCCCAGATTTTTCACCTCTTGACTAGAATAACCCTGAAGGTTTGTTCTATACTGTCTTCTACAATTCCTCCATCGATTGAGCTCCAGTTGTCCACAGTGGTAAATTGTTGGTAATCCACCCTTGTATTGGCTTCCTTTTCTGTCTCACTCCCAGCCTCTCACTGGCATTTCCCGGAACTACCTCATACACACACAAAAAAAACTATTTGCACTGAAATCTTAGTCTCCAGGTCTGCTTCTGAAAGCATCCAAACCAAGGGAGCAATATACATAAGAGTGTAATTGTTTGGTAGTGGAGTATGAATATTTGGGATAAATGTAAAAAGTCAAATTGTATGTATGTATGTCAATTATGCATGAATTGGAAATCAATTGTGAATTTCCAAGTGATTCTACTAATTAGGATTCTCATTAGCACTGTGTAAGTTATATTTTGAACACTTAATATCAGATTTCTTTTTAATTTTCTAGTAAGAAATTATATCCTGTTATTTCTTATTCTCATTATTGGTGATCTCTTCTTTCCATATGGAATGCATATTAGGCATATATAGTGAATTAACTAAATCTATTATCAGTAGTTCTCATTTTAAATTTATCATATTCCTTTCTTCGCCTTTACCCCAGAAGACATGGAAAACTCACCGATTTTCTAATTCATTCATCTGATTTTCTCACAGTCAATATACTGTGAACTAGGTTTATTGCTTTTGCTTTTTAAATATTGCATATATTTTCTGAATATTTTTCTGAAAATATGTTCTTGGGTTTTTTCTTTGTTTGTTTTGGTTTTTTTGTTTGTTTGGTTTTTTACCGTGTCATATAGCATGCTTGCTTTGGTGGTGGGAAGACAGCTTGCAAGTTTACCCACAAAACTTCTCATTGTTAGAGTTACTTCATCTTTTGATGTATTGTATGGACTTCCTTTCCATTTAAAAAAGAAGTCTGTGCATGTGCACACCCAGATTTAAGAGTTCTTTTTTATATTAGGGACAAAGAGAAAATAAGAATATTGATATTTTATCTAATTTTAAAAAGAGAGATGTTTGGAAGTGTAAGATATGGTTTTTAGTCTTATCAAAGATGAGATACAAATACTGATGAAGACAGTTGTATGGCAGAGATTTCCCATATAGAAAGTGTTTTCCTTTCCATGTTAGTTATTGCCATTTCTTACATAAAGCCAAAATGCTCTAAATAGCAAAAATGCTTCTCTAAATAGCAAAAATGCTTTCATCAGCTTATGGATAGGACTCTTTTTGGACTCCTGTTCTTGATACAGACTTTGTCCAATGCACATTTGTACTAATATTTTTCCATTTTTATTTTGCAATAAGAAGTTATTTTTCAATGGGAGGTTGGGGAGCAGGGCAATAAACACATGGGCTCAGAAAGCTACTTTGCAATAAGTAAAGTAGCTTTCTGAGTAAATTTTTAAAGCAAAAATAAAACAATGATGAATGCATTTAAAATTCTTTGAGAAAAGGTACTGAGTAGATAGTCTCCTTTGCTAGAACAAAAAATGATTAGCTCTGAATTAAACCATAATCTAATTCAATTATACCTAAATCTCTAACAATTTGCTGTAAAGCTTTAAAAATTATGCCTTTTGACATTGCCAGTATTAGTCTCTTTAAAAATCCATTTCGCCTTCCTTTTGACATTGCTTCATTTCAGAGCAATTACAAATAATGCAGCCTCAACAAGTTTTTAAAAGCTCAAACATACTATGAAGTGATGCAGAACAGAAATTAAAATTCATGTACTAATTTTTCTTTTTATGCTCATAACTATGTATTCCTACCCAGTATGCTACTGAGACCTTAATGTGAATAATTTTGAAATATTTTCCTCTATTTGATGACTCTTTGTCCTCTAGTTAATGGCTCTTTGTTATGCTAGGGAAATAATATCTAAAGTCAAATGTGCATTGTAGGTTATAACTTTTCTATACAATGGTCAGTGTCATATTCAGTCTCTATGGTAGATTATAATACTCCCCCCATTTGACCCTTGGGGAGTAGTTAGGATAATAGCCAAACAAAAACAACTTGGCCATTGTGTGAAAAATAGTTCACCTAGTGAAGAAAAAAATAGTCAATTTATCCGGTACCCCACAGAAAACTCTCTCTGGAGTCCCATCTTTGGATGTTGGCATTTAGGGAGGCCTCTTAGCTGCTTTCTTTTATTCATGCTGCTGGTACTGTAAGATGGTGTGGGGAACCTCTGCTGGAAGAAAATTTCAAGTTCTCCACTTGACTCATCAGCTTTATGAGACTAATTGGTGATTCCTAATGAAGTGATATAGGCTAAAAACAAAAAAAAAACACTTTAATTTTAACTATTAGGATTTCTCTTGACCACTATTCTGTCCCTACCAAGAAGACCAAACAGTGTGGAGTCATGAGCGCTAATTTTATTAAAGAAATGGGCAGATTTCCTCTTCTTTGTCTGGTATTGATATCAATTTGTTTCCTGGCACCTTCTTCGGTTAGGTTGGTGCAAATGTAATGGCATAACAGTAATGGCAAAAACTGCAATTACATTTGCACCAACCTAATAGTAAGCGTTTACCATCATTCCTATAGGGAAATCATACCCTGTGGTTTAAGAGAGACTAACTTCACTCTTCCAGCTGCCCAGCAGTAGGAATGTGACCTTGACTTCATTTATCACAGTGCCCAAATGCCCCAGACCTCAAGGAATGGTTAAGAAATAGAAATGTCATCAAAAGAAGGCAAATGAGAGTTCTCTCTACCTGGAATATTTTTTCAGTGTTATCAAGGAAGAAGCTTTCCTTGTCCTGAAGTTAAAATGCTGTTGGGATGGAAGTCTCAGGCTGCCAGGAACCATCATGCCTATCACATAGAAAAAGCTTGTCTGAAAGATGGAGGGTCACAACTTTAATGACTTTTTTAAATGCCTGGATCAAACCAAGCCTGAAGCTAGATAATGTTGAATAATTTTGTTTGTTTGGGGCCAAAATTGGGTGTGCTTTAAATTTAAGTTTCCGTTACCTAGCTCTCTTACTTAAACTGGAAGAATCCTAAGAGACACACTCCCACCTTGGCTTTAAGGCAAAAAAAAAAAAAATTGAAAATAAAAAAAAAACGCAGGGAGAATCCAAAGTAAAGTGCACTGTTTCTATAATTGATGACATTCAATTTTCCACAGAGCAGACAAAATGACCTTTTGAAAATGTAATTTCATGCCCATTATTTCCCCTCTTAAAAACTTTCAAATTCTTATTGCCATTAAAATTAGGTCCAGTCTTCTTTCACACTTTGCCACCACTGCTACCACATCTCATGCCATTCTCCCCCTTCTCTCTGCTTGGCCTTTTCTCTGAGAGATTCATTCATACTTCAGGGCCTAGAGGATTGCTTCCAATTATTTGTGTAGTCCTTCTCATTTTGACTATTTCAGCTCAATTGTCACTTCACAATTAAGTTTATCCTTGTTGACCCCATCTAAAATAACCAATGTTGACTATGTTTAATAATAATGCATTACACACTTGCAATTTTCTAAGAGAGTAGATCTTAAGTATTCTCATCTCCCTCTCACACACACACACAAAAACACACACACAATAACTATGTAAAGTGATGGATATGTTAACTAGATTGATGATGGTAATCATTTCACAACATATGCATACATCAAAATATCACATCATACACCTTAAATAATACAATTTAAATTTCAGTTATACCTCAATAAAGCTATAAAATAAGATAAAATAGCCAATGCAAATACATTCTAGCTTCATACTTTATTTCTACATATTACTTTTATGCTATAAAATTATCTTTATTTTTAATTTTTGTCATTTACCCACTTAAATCCATTTGCCCCTCTAAGAACGTGGGCTGGGTGTGGTGGCTCACGCCTGTAATCCTTGCACTTTGGGAGGCCGAGGAGGGCAGATCACCTGAAGTTAGGAGTTCGAGACCAGCCTGGCCAACATGGCAAAACCCTGTCTCTACTAAATATATAAAAATTAGCCAGGCATGGTGGCTGGCACCTGTAATCCCAGCTACTCGGGAGGCTGGGGCAGGAGAATCACTTGAATCTGGGAGGCAGAGGTTGCAGTGAGCCGAGATCATGCCACTGCACTCCAGCCTGGGCAACAGAGCAAGACTCTGTCTCAAAAAAAAAAAAAAAAAGTGAATTTCAGGAGAGCAGGGACCCTTTTGATTTTGCTCATTGCCACATCTTTAGAAGTTATAACAATGACTAGCTCAAAGACTCACCAAATTCAAAATTGTTGAATTGATAAATGTTTAAATAACACCTTCCTTGTTTTATTTTTACCAAGCAGTATTCTGTAATTCTAGCTGTCTTTCTTCTGTAAGTCATTCTCTCCTTTCTATACAGCTCCTTTTAGAATCTCTCTCCTCTTCCTCTTTTTACTTCTTTCTCTCTTTCTCTCTCTCTCCCCCTCCTATCTTGCAGTTTCACTACTATATGTCTAGTCATAAATTCTTTTTAGTTATCCAGCTTGAGCTAAATTCTCACCGATCTTGAAACATGTGAAGCCATTAATTCTCTAAATAAGGCCTCTTCCCAAATCTTTGTAGTTCATCTTTTGAGATGCCAATCAGATGGTTTTAAGAGCTTCGTATTCTATCATCCATGTCTCTTTGCTACTTTTCTGTAGTTCTTATATATACATCTATATCATGATACACATCTATCTTGTAGCTAGTTATCTCTAGTTAGCATCAGACTTCTTTCTTCAATTGCACTTCATCTGCTGCTTAACTCATCTATTAAGTAATTTTTGTCTCAATAAAAATGTTTTTCACACTTAGAAGTTCATTTTGTTTGTCAGTCTATTTTTCTGATGCTTTTTTGCTTTCCTCTAAGTTTATTAATTTTATTAAACACCCCATACCAAGATATTTTATATTTTAACTCTAAACAAATTTAATATCTGCAGTCCTTAAGAATTTCATTTTGCTATTGCTTGTCTCTACTGCTTATAGATCATGGTGGTTTTCCTTATGTGTTTGGTGTTCCCAGTAAATTCACACTTGATTAATATCTGATGTAGTCCTGATAGCTATTGCATGAGGCTGTACATGGAGAAACTGTCCTTTAAAATGTGTTTGCCTCTGTCTCTACCAATAGAGAAAGATGTATTAGTCAATCTAGCTTTATCATAACATTGATTATGCTGCAGTGGCAAACAATTCAAAATTCTCAGGTGTTTAATAGAAAAGGCTTCTTTCTCATACCATATGTTATGGGCTTCCTGGAGTATATATTCTGATTTATTCTCTATCTTTTAGGTCAGTCTCTTTATGGAACATGCTGGTCATTGTAAATGGAGTAAAAGAAGTAATGCTTTATTATTTCCATGCAAATCATTACCTACAACTAGAAACATGCTCCCCATTCCCTAATCCACAGAGACAGCCCAAAGTGGTGGTCTTACTAATGACCCTCACCAGGGGTGCTCCCACCAGCCCAGAAACACGTTAGACCCTCAAATATCAATGATTTTCAATGAATGTCACTATTCATAATTGATTATTAAGGTCTTTTAACATCTATTTTTCCTTGCCTTAAATAAGGGAGCAATACTTTAAATTTTTGCTCCTTCATCTTCAGAAAGACCCAGAAAAATATCTCCAAGAATAAAATTACACTCCTCTTATCTGGGCCTCCTCCCTGTAAAATCTACATTTTTATTTCTTCTCATTTAATTGCATAAATTTGTCAAACTCCAACTCCAACTATTTATTTTATGAGACATACATCTAGAAGTCTCTTTTCCCTCAAGATAGTGTATCCTCCATAAATCTGAGAACGAGACCACTCAAGACCTATATTGAAGTAAGATATAATTGTGCCAAGGGACATAGTACTTGAAGTCATCCCCATCTATAGTAGATCTAAAATAAAATTCTTTCATTGTTCTTCCAGCACATGGATTCAGAAATTGGTCCGAGATAGGAAGAAATGCAGAAGTCTCAGGAAAAATAGAAAAATTTTAAAAAGCAAAAACAATAACAAATCCAATATTATTAACATTTGAGGGGAAAAAAAGGCCAATCTGGGGGAAAAATGAGAGAAAAATACAGATGCACACATCTTGTTCCCAGTAACATTTTTGACGTGTATCCTATGTATAAGTAAAATGACCCCAGCTGCAAAAGAGCAGTACCAGCTCAACTGGCTGAAGAGAAGGAAAAGTTAGTGTCTTATAGAATAAATTCCAAGAGAGGGCAACATCTTCCAAGCTGCTTTATTCAGTGATCCAAAGGAGCTACTTTCCCTCTTCTGCTAGCAGTCTTCATCACATTGGGTTAGCTTCCCTTGAAGTTGCAAGGTAGCTACAGCAGTTTCTAAATATAACATGTAAACACAAAAGTATTACATTGAAAAACATGGAAGCATTAAATTGTACTTTTAAGAACAAGAAAGCATTTTCCAAAAATCCCCGAGGAGACTCTCCCTCATGTCATTTATCAGAACTGAGTCACATGTTAACTATTAAACAAACCCCTAGGAAGGGAAATGAGATTCCAGTGCTTGTTAGTGAAGCACGTGGTTATGTGGTGGATGGTGAATTACCGGCAAAAAAAAGAAAAATCAGAACTCTGGCAGAAAAAGGAAAGGAAAGATGGAATAGATACTGGCATTCCTTCTGCTACATCCTTCTAGATTTCTTCCATACAAGCAAAATCTTGCTCTGCATACTTCTTTGTAGTCTTCTTTATTTTTTCTACCTTCCTATATCATAGGCAGTTCTTCACGTGTACATAATGGCTGCATATAATTGTATTGCATGGAAGTTTCGAAATGTATTAAAGTGATGTTTATTTATTGAATTCTATTGATAGGTATTTAGATTACTCCCTGCCATGACAACTGTAATACACACAGAATGAATGTTGGCTAGATAAATGAGAGTTGGATTACACAGATAGATGATAGATAGATAGATAGATGTAATTATAATAATATTGGAATTTACCTTCCAGAACACCTGTGCCTGGGACTGAAGTATATAAAATAAGTGTACACTTATTTTCTTTCTCAGTCAAAACTAGCTATGCCCCATACATTTTGCTGTGTGCTGTTGTCATTTTCTCTAATTAGCAAAAAGCCTGTAATTGCGCTTTTGATTTCCTCTTTGACATATGATATTTAAGACATTTTAATTGCTGTGTTATTGCTTTTCAATGTTAAACATTTATTTTTTCAATTTATTTTTAGTTTTATTACAAAAAAATTAAGAGACAGAAGAAAATGGCCTATACAATTTGTGCTTTGAAGATTTTACTGGCATTTCCTTTGTGGCCCAACATATGTTAGTTTTGAAATTATCAGTTGACACAGAAAAAAATTAGCATTTTTCCTAGCGTGTAAATGTTTAATTAAATATATCAGGTTAACCTTAATTTGTATGGAAATTAGAGTTTCTATATTTTTTGAGACTTGATTAGAAAAATTAGAGAGGGAAAATGCTTTGCATTATATATTTTGATACAATTTTTTAACACATAAAGATCCCCAAAAGTTACAGCTTCGTTGCCAATGGCACTCTGTAGTAGATAAATTGATAGACTTTGTCCTGCTTAATGCTCCTTGCTTTGGATTCCATATAATCTTTTATTATGGAGGTTTAGCAAAGGTCCCATGGATAAACTTATGGTTGCTCTTGACCAGTAGATTTGACAGAAATGATGCTATGTGACTTTTGAGCTAGGTCATAAAAGCCCACGCAGCTTCTACCTGGTTTCTTCAAATGTCTGCTCTTGGAATCTCCCTCTCATAACCCAACCATCCCACTGCCAGAAACCCCAGCCATATGGGCAGGCCATATACAGGTACACCAATGGACAACCCCAGGTAAGTCAAGCCCTTCAATCATCCCAACCCAGATTCTGCATGAGTAAATGAAGAAGCCTTCAGGTGATATCCAGCCCCAAGCATGTGAAAGACTTCCAGATTGTTACAGACTGGATATTTGTGCCCCCTTCAACATTTATATGTTGAAACCCTAACTCCCAAGGTCACGGTATTAGGAGGTAGGGCCTTTGGGAAATAATTAGGTCATGAGAGTACAGTCCTTATAAATGGAATTAGTGCCCTTATAAGAAGAGGCCAAGAAGCTAGCACACTCTGTTTCCACCATGTGAGGATACAGGAGAAGTTAGCAATGTGCAGCTTGGAAGAGGGCTCTTCCATGCTGGCAGCTCCAGCTCAGCTTCCAGCCTCCAGAACAGTGAGGAATAAATTCCATTGTTGATAAACTCTTCAGTTTATGGTATTTTTTATAGCATCCCAAATGGACTAAAAAACTGATCTTCCCAGCTATTGTTCCTCAGGCATTATGGAATATAGATGAGTCAAACCTGCCATGGCTTGCAATTCCTGAACACACAATCTGCAAATGGTTTGTTGCTTATGCCACTATGCTTGGGTGGTTTGTTATGCATCGTATGCAAGTATAGACACTAATCTTGGAAACTCTGCTTCATTATTGCTTACATGTGCTTTATAAAACTTTTTTACCCTTTTACAGTTAATGTTTTGTGATTTTAGTCAAATCTCTTGAGAATATCATATAACTGCCTATTTTAAATTGTTTATAAATTAAATAAATTACGATTGATAATTATTTCTAGCTTATAAGTCAGATTTTGCCCTTGATAATGTATCTTAATGTAACTACATTATTTTTAAACTGATTTGCATAATTTTAGAAGTTGTACTCTTTTTTAGGTCTACTTAATATTGCCTTGTCCAACACAACTTGAAATATATTCTGTTCACTTTTACTTTGTTCAAAATGTTAAAAAAATACCAGGAAGATAAATTTTTCAACTTCATTTTCAGGCCGTTTTCATTCTCCAGTTTCTCTCAAAATGTGGTGTGAGTTTCTTGGACCCTAAGCAGGAGCTTCTCTCTTTATCTTCGCATTGACAGGGTGGTGCAGGGGGTCATAGAGGCACAGGTGGTCCAGCCAGTGCAGGTGTCCTGGGGGAGCTCATTTTATCTAGTCTCAGAGAGGCTATAATAGGCATGACTAAGAAAACCTTTTAAATCCAGGAATTGTTAAATATCATGGAAATTATTTGTTACCCGAAGGTTACAAGGACTTTCTTTAAAACTACCTTGGACCAAATTTTTATCGATATTTATACTCTTCTTTTTCAATGTACTTTATGGTTTGGAGTATATTAGGTTCACTTCCTTTTTATTAGCCAATGATAATAATTTATATGTTCTGGTAATTGCTATTCATTTCATCAAGATATTAAAACATAATTATCATAGAATTTTATACAACATCGTTTTGTCAATTACAATCACTTTTTCATTCTCAGTATTGTTTAAATTAAATGCCTCTCTATTTCATTAGTTTATTTAAAGAACAAAATGTTTTATCAATTCTATTGTTTGTGTTGTTTCTTAATTAATTTCTTTCTCCTCTTATGTTTAATAATCCACCTCCTTTGTTTCCTTGGAGTTATTTTAATCTGTATTATGATTTTTGTTGTTGTTATCTAAAAATCAAACAGTTTTTGGACATGACTCTTTTTCTCTGTAACTCTTTTTTTTTTTACTTGAGATTATTTTAAATATTTTTGCTTAGACTTCCTCTTTATTTCACTTCAATCTTTGCTAGGCTTATATGAATGCCTGGGGAAAAAATTTCTGAGCTCTAGCTTTGATGCCTCTACCTCTTTTTCAGAGAAGGAAGCCCCAGGCTGAATTCAGGAGTTTTGATCTTGCTGGCTATATTTGGGGTTCCTGGATGAGCTGCTGGGGTTGTGTAGTGGTTATGTACTATGAATAAAACACCTCCTGGCACAGAGCTGCTTGTCCAAGTGGGCACAGAACTTGGGCAACAGTGTTCTGCTTATTTGAAGTTATTTGCCACTCACCTCCTGTTTGATGGTCTCATGACATCTCCTGGTATGGGAATCTTCTAATGAGACTTCCTTTGTAGTGGCAGCAATCTAAAAGGGCTTCACACAGCCTGAGGCAGCCGTCTTGCTTGAACCTGATATTTTCACACCAACTTGAGACTCTCAAATTATCCTTGCACATTTAGTACCACTATGCTCTAGAGATGCAAGTAAAGATCCAGAAGGATTACTTAATTCAATATTAAACACAGAAGCACTCTCTTAGGAGGGCTTTTAATGCACCTGTTTAATAGAAAATATTGGCCTTAAACAACAGTTTAAGATGAGACTGGAAGATAAGACTGCATTTTAAGTTAAGTACCAGGGAGTGTTTGGAAAAGCAGAACAAGTCCACAGCACAACCAGCCTCCCAACCTTAACTGTTGCAGAATCAATTTCTAAAAATGTAGACAATCTGAGGACAGAATCTTCATAACAGAAGGGTCTGAGGAGTCTGAGGAGAGGTAGCTAGAATAGCAACATCTGGAACGAGTGAATATATGAGACCGCGTGGATGGAGCCAGGGTCACCACAGGCATAGATGAGAACATCCTAGCAGAAGTGCAATAAACAGTGTTACATGAGGTTAATTAAGCATCCTGGAATTCAGCAGGAAGCCTGTTAGAGACTTGATGGAGAACACATGTCATTAATCCAGATCAAACAGGGTTAAGGTTAGGATAACCTTAGGGTCTGCAGGTGAAATGAATGCCATAGCTCAAGGTCAAGGGGAATGTTCTACTTACCCCAGGCCACTGCATCCTTAGCAGAACTTTGCTTTCTCTGCTGCTGTTCAATAGGCACTAGACATTTACGGCTATTTCGATTTAAATTAATTTAAATTAAAGATGATTTAAAATTCAGTTCCTCTGTCTCAATAGCCACATTTCTTTTCTTTTAAGTTCAGGGGTACATGTGCAGGTTTGTTACATAGGTAAACTTGTGTCATGAGGGTTTGTTGTACAGATTATTTCGTCACCTAGGTATTAAGCCTAGTACCCATTAGTTATTTTTTAAATATGCAATATTTGCCTTCTGTGCATGGCACAGAATGAAGATTTCCAGCATTGTAGAAAGTTCTATTGTCTTCCATCTCATCTTACAGAGAGATACAAGATCATTCACCTAGGGTGATATTGGGACTGCCATTCGTGTTTATTTTGATCTAATTTTAAAATTTATATTTGTGTATATTTTATAATGCATGTAATAGATCAGTATCTAATATGTGTAATTTCTAAAACTTGATGTTTTGTATGTAACTTCATTGCTTTACTATTCCTTCTTAGCATTACCACAATATAATATACATGATCCTCATTTTTCTTTTTTATTTAATCCTTGATAATTTCCACAAAATGTAAGCTCCAAAAAGCAAGAAGTTTGGCATTTTGCTATTATCATTTACTGAAAATGTCATAGCGTATAGGTATTCAATAAATAATTGTTGGCTATTCAAATCTATCCATTTGGGTTAATTACACAGCACTGCATAAAGACAAGACATTTATATTATAGATAGGGGAGATTTGCATATTTGTTTCAGAAAGCAGATAACAAAAAAGTAGACTTTTCTATCAGAAATCATTACATTTGGAAAAGTTTCTGATCCAAAGGAAAAGTGAAGAAACACCTCTTTCTAATTTGCACAAAAGATCAGTAGGGGCCAGCATATTGAAAGTACACATAAAATAGATTTTTTTTGAGTAAGTACATGATATGCAAATTTGGACTCTCTGTTCCAGAGGATGGAAATCTAACAGGGCCAATAACATAAAATAACTGTACTCAGAAGAGCAAGTTGGTGGTGTGGGTGGAAGGAAAGCCTGTGGAGCAGGAGTTTGTGTCCTGTGCTAGTAATCAAGGGTGTAAATTGGGAGTGGGAATGGGCAGCCATCAGCACATCTCAGGGGATAAAATCAGGTTTGTTCAGAAACAGTCAGACATTGTAATAGCGGATTAGCTTGCCGTTCAGCCAGCAGGTAGCACATTCTCAATAATACCTGTTGACTCAAATTCATCATTCTGATGTACATTTGATTGCCATTGTCATCAGCTGTTCTAAAACACTGGAAGATGGCCCTGAGATTAATCGCTCATCAGTAGACAGCAGTCTATTGATTTTGGTGTGATTTAGAACTTATCAGTACAACCCAGGAGAGGCAAAATGAAATTTGGAGTCAAAAATAAGTGGGCTATCATCTGGATTCTACCTCAATTTTGACATGAGAACATAGCTTTATATTAACCTATGTCTGTCAGTTCCCATATTTATGAAATGGTATTAATTATACCAAATTATATCTCCTTCATGGGAGTATGGAGGGTTAATTTAACCATTGTGTAAATTCTCTAGAACAGTCTATGGCATGTGGTAGAGGCTCAGTAAATGATGAGTGTTTTCTTCCCGCTTTCTCATTCTTAAAGTTCCAATTTGAACGTTAAAATCCTTCAATACTTCATTAAGTTTTGACTCTCTTCAAAAAGAAGTTGGGCTTAAAAAGCCTTACTGTGTAAGAGGCCCATGCTAAATGCTTTACACATTCTTTAAGCAAGAAACTCAGCATCATATCCCAAGCATTGCACTCTTCACTTCCCAATCCTGCACCCCCCACCCCCATCATTAGGCCAAAGTCCCCTCCCTTATGACGGAGTCAGCAATATTGGGAACAAGAGCTTGCCAAAGAGAGTTTAAATTTCTCTACTTATATGAGACAGTTTTCATTGTCTTATCCACATTCATTTCTTAATATTATCCCCAACTTTAGCCTAATCTCTGACAGGATTATCAAATAAATTTAATGAAGTACATAGTGGCAAGCTGAGGGGAAGAGAGGGATAAAGAATACATGTCCAAGGACAATGAACTGCCCTCAGAGTGACACCAAAAGTCAACTCAGAAAGCCTACATAGAGGAGGTTCACATTTTGAAAAACTCACTTCACTGACTTGATAATTTTGCTATGATTTATCTCTGAATTTCCTATGTTTCTCTGACACATTGACATGACCTAAATTTACTCTCTCTCTCTCTCTCTCTCTATATATATATATGTATATACGTATATCAAGAATGATCATTTCTCCCTATTTATACAATCAAAAAAAAAGCTAAGAAAATTTCAGAGATCACAAAGCATATTGGCAGAGTGTCTGGGATGCCAGTGGCCTGGGACTCTAAGAACAAAATCACCCCATCCTTACTATACTGTGATGCAAACAGAATGCCAAATAAAGGAAAAGCACATGCTCATAAATGCCATTCTTTTTAAGTTTCAAATCTTCTTTCTGATTCTCCTTTTACATCTCTTGTTCTGGGGCTGGTTTTGAGACAAGAATTCATGGAGGAAAAAAAAAACTGAGAAATGAAAATCCAAAGGTTTCTAAACTTAAATAAGTAGTATTTTCTAATCCAGAAAATAAAAGACTTGAATCACATCTCCTATGTGCATCTCTGTGAGTTTCAACCTTCTTTCTCTATTTTTGCACCTACATCTCTACCTCTTTTACATTGTCAGGGCTATAAGAAAAGCAGTTACATTGTCACATTTTTGGTCTGACAGCTAGAAAATGTTCTTATTATGTGTATTACAAAATTTTTCCTTAAAGTACACCAAGTTGAATTTGAGCTTTGCATATTTAAAGAGCAGAAGGAGGCTTCAGCAACAACATTGTGGATTTCTTGGTTACTATCCCAACAGAGCAGTGGACTAGCCTGGGAAACGATGGTGTGTGTGCATGGATGAGTTTGGATGAAGTGAAACTAAGTGGTGTTTTCTGCCCAAAAAGAACAGTTTGATGGCCAGGTACAGTGGCTCACACTTGTAATTCCAGCACTTTGGGAGGCTGAGGTGGGCGGATTGTCTGAGCTCAGGAGTTCGAGACCAGCCTGGGCAACAAGGTGAAACCCCGTCTTTACTAAAATCCAAAAAAGTAGCCAGATGTGGTTGCGTGCACCTGTAGTCCCAGCTACTCGGGAAGCTGAGGCAGGAGAATTGCTTGCACACAGGAGGCAGAGGTTGCAGTGAGCCCAGATTGCACCACTGCACTCCAGCCTGGGTGACAGAGCGAGACTTCGTCTCAAAGAAAAAAAAAAACAGTTTGGTATTTGTATCTTTGAATAGATTTGTTTGTTTGTTTTTTGAAATCACTCTCAGAGTGAGCTTCCTTGTCCCAGTGGAATCAATTCTTACATATGAGAGTTTAAAAACAAACAAAAAAACACTGTTAAACAGAACTTCTAACTTGATCACTCATTATTTCCCCAAATTTGATGCTGCATAACTTATAAACAAAGCTTAATATTAAATCTTTGTGCAGAGGTTGGAAAGTAGCACCATTTAAGGGCATTTTTAAAAAGGAGGATTGAGACTCTGAAGCGCACACTCAAAAAAAGTTAAAAAAAAAATAGGAGTTTTCTCCTTTCTGGAAAGAAGTTGAAATTAGAAAAGGGTTTCCAATTTGCAAATGGCTACTTTGTTAGAAATATAATGAGCATTTTTTGATTGATTTCTGTGTTTATTAGGACAAGCCTAGAGTTATTAGGCTTGTTTTTTGAGGGCCTTAACATACAAGTGTGTACTAACCTGTCTGAATTCCAAACCAGGAAGGATATACTGAGATGATTCAATGCCAGAAACTGGGGCTTGAGGGACCAGTGGTCCTTCAAGGACAGGGTGTCCTCCCTTGGTGGCTAAAAGCAGAAAGATCAAGGGGGAGGTGTCCCAGAAAAGTCAATAGAGAAGTGGAAAGGGCAGAAACAGATAAATCCAAGAGACAATTCCAAAAGTCAGAATTTAAGCAAATTTGGAATAGGACATAAGCCAGTTAGGAGTGAATTCAAGCTGGTGTAGGGTTATTGTAGCTGATTCCTTTAAATATTCAAGAGCTGCACTTTTCTGAGTGGGAGGGGTGTGGAGGATATAGGATCGGTGCATAAATTATTCTTCCAAATATCTATTGTGAAAAGGTGAATAAGAGAAAATAAGATCAGAGGAGGCAATTGTATATTTTAGGCTATTTGTGAAGATAAAATTTGATGAAAGAATACCTCAGCCTCTCTTTCAAAAGTACTGGTCTTATGTTGAACCACAATCATTTCCCCAATATTTCCTTCTACCCCACAAGTGTGTGCGTGTGCATGCACACAGGCACAGACACACACACACTCAAACACAGATACTTATTGCTCACTTCCCTCAGGCCAAAATGAATAGCAGTATTGCTACCAAATTATACTGAAATCAAGTAGGAGACTCCTCATTTCTTAGGGGGAAAAAAACTAGAAATATTTATCATTTTAAACCATGTCATTGATATAAACATCTTCACATAATAATAATATAATATTTGTCTAATACTGTTGGTCAGTTATATCTCCTTTGATTTCTCTTCATCTTTGTTATCCTAAACTCATCTTTCACCTGGATGAATTTAATAGTTTTCTAATAAGTCTTACTGAATTTAATATTCTTATAATTATAAAATTGATTGTCAACATTGTAGGCAGAAAGATCTTTTAAAAATTATTAAAATAATTTAGATTGTTCTCGTCTCCATCCGAACCGTCTCCTCAAGCACTTAACTCTCCACATCGCACACTGCTTGTTTCATGTCATTTTTAGTTCTCTGTTTAAATGACATTTCTGTAAGAAGCTTTCTCTATCCACACTAAATTATACTCACACACCATTATTTTCTATCACTGCATTATGCTTATTTTCTTTCTGGCTCTTAATAAAGTTTATAAAAATGGATTAATGTCTGTGCCTAGTTGTCTGTCTTCTAGACTTTATGTTTCTTGAGTGAAGGGGCATATCACTCTACTATCCATTGTATCACCAGTTCACCCAAAGCCTCACAGGTGGAAGATGTTCAGTCAGTACCTGTGGAATGAATGCATGGATTAATATTTTAATTTTTTCTTTACAAAAATTATTTCAAAGAATGATCAATGGATACTAAAACCAGTGGGTAAAAGCTTTTATAAACTGGATATTCACAGAGCCTCTAAGACACAGAATAATAATTACAAAAGAGAAAGTGTACACTTATAGAGAGTTCCATAGGTCACCAATGTAGCCCAGTAATTTAACTTAATATGACCGGTAGTAGAACAATCTGACATTTTATATCTCCTACTGCTGAAAAATAAACCTATAACACCATCTATGTAACATTTGCCAAAAATATTTTACCCAAATCTGATCACAAAGAAACAGTCAGATATATGCAGAATGTGCAACATGCTACAATGCTCTGAAAAGTTCTAGAAATTGAAGGTCCTGAAAAATAAAAATGTAGAAGGAAGACCATCCTAGGTTAAATAGGATTTAAGAATAACAAATAAGTATGGTACACAACCTTTTATTGGATTTTCTCTATAAAATGTTCTTAGGGCAATTGGGGAAATTTGAACATAAAATGTATATTATATATTAATAAAGTTATTTTGTTAGGAGTGATAATGATATTTTGCTTAGGTAAGTAATGATCTTATGCTTAGGAGATATACGCCGCATTATTTAAACTAAAATGTCATGTTGCCTACTTCATGCTGAGGTTGTTCAGCAGAAAGCAACTCTGTGTGTGACATATATAATTATGTGTGTGTAAAAGAAAGAGAATAATGCATAATGTTAATGACTGAGACATCTAGGTGGGAGTTCATCTAGGTGTTCATTAAACTCTTCTTTCAACTTTTCTGTAGGGCTTAACCATCTATTAATTCATGAACTATGCAACAACCTGTGAGGGAAGGAGATAGTTCTCTCCCAACTTTATACAAAACTGGGGTCCCCTGCCCCCCAGCCATGGACTGGCCCTGGGCAGCACAGCACGAGGTGAGCTGCAGGCCAGGGAGCATTACCGCCTGAGCGCCACCTCCTCTCAGATTGCCATGGCTTTAGAGTCTCATACAGCGCAAACCCTATTGTCAACTGTGCATGCGAGGGATCTAGTTTGTGCACTCCTTGTGAGAATCTAATGCTTGATGATCTGAGGTGGAACAGTTTCATCCCAACACTAGATGAGACAATGCGCCCATCCATCACACCCTCCCCTTCCTCCTTTCCCCGTCCGTGAAAACTTGTCTTCCACGAAACCTGTCTCTCGTGCCATAAAGGTTGGTTATCGCTGATATAAGACAATATGGATGAGACAACTCTAAAAAGAGTGGTTTTCGTATGTATTTTGTATGACAGCAATCTTGTTACATCATAACTATATGAAAGCAAGGTGATTCATTTTGTAATAATTAGGAAAAGTTGAACAGTATTAGCTAGGTTTTCATTGCTATAGATTTAGTAACCAACATGGTGTGGCATGAGGCTGATTGTTATTTTAAAGGGGTGTGACATATATTCTAATAAAGACAACAAGTAGCAAGTTGATTTTTTAAGCATGTTAATTTTAATTGTTGCAACCAGCTTGGCTTACCAGTGTTGTAAAAATAAGGCTTACTGGGCACATTTGCCAGGTGCTGGTGAATAAGGCATCCTAGACTCTGGATCTGCCATCTTGTGGACACTTCAATAACTTTACAGTATCAAAACTGACCACACCTGTCAAAGTCATGCTGGGCTCTAAGACAGATATGGCAGCTAATATTTTTCCCCTAGAAATAGATTGTCCTCCTGAACTCTTTATCTCAGGCTGTGAGATTTTACAATCCCCCTGATATTTTAAGATGAAAGCTAAAAGCATCAATTTTAAATAATAGAAAAGCTAATCATATATTTAACACCTATTGAAGTGTTCAATGTGATTTATGCATTATCTTAATATAATTTTTAAATACATCTTTCTACATTCTGTGTATATATATTAATTAGGCTCACATTTAGAGGCCTATTTACTGTCAGAATACAAAATGAAATACGATTGTCACAACATATAAGTAAATTCACTTATAGGTAATAATAGGTATTTAATTTAAAAGACAGCGTTGTGCAGGGATATGAATTTTGAACTTTACTTTTCTGCTTTTATCATTTGCTTTTGTTTTGTAAACAAAGAAAATAGATTTAAGCTGAGATCAACTTGTCTGGACACATCTAATTGAAATATGTTCCCCTTCTCTCCCTCTTCCCTCTCCACTCCTGGAACAGCTCCCATAAGGAAATCGTGCAACTCTCGACTCTGCACGGCACCATCTCAAACTCTGGGGTGCAATAAAGAAAACTGCATTGCAGTTTCACCGATTTGGAATGAAAGTTGTGTGACATTAGCAAATAAATTATATTCTCTCTAGATACCAACCTTAGCATTTATAAACTTAGCATATGTGTAAGTCATTCTTAGACCAATGAGTCATTCCATAAGTATTTACTGAGCACCTATGAGATTCCAGCTATTGTGGAAGGTAGTGGTGTTACAGTGGTAAACAAGCCAGATTTGATCTGTATGTATAACCTAACAAAGGACACAGTCAAAAAATCAAAGTGCAGGCATCAACTTTGAAGTCAGAGAGAAAATCTCAGAGCATATGGATTTTAATTATTTTTACAAAAATGTTTGGAAAGAACTTGAACTTTATTAAAATTTAATATGTGAGTTAATAGCACTACATGCATAATTGTTAAATAAATATGTAATGTTTTGAGGTACATGCTCAAAGAGTTTCACTTATAAACATATGCAATAAAAAATGGAGTCTACTAGTCAATCATATCTGAACTATACTATCCACATGCAATGACATAGCTATATATAAAATGACAGCTGGAAACAAATCAGGCAATAACTGCACCTATATATAATTGTAATTACAAATATTTTGTATATATATATTGTGTTACATTTATATGTGA
The DNA here is from genome assembly GCF_000001405.40 of Homo sapiens. Taxonomy (NCBI): domain Eukaryota; kingdom Metazoa; phylum Chordata; class Mammalia; order Primates; family Hominidae; genus Homo; species Homo sapiens. The sequence continues at coordinate 81,115,897 of NC_000010.11, read as the reverse complement.
TGCTGGACTTTAGGTCCAGAAGACTTAGAGTTTAGCTCTAAAGTTTAATGTAATATAGAAGAAAAACGTTAAAAATTAAAAACCATAAAAATAGGTAACATTATACCCAAAGTTAATAGTTGAGAAATTTCTCAAACTCTTAAGTTGCTTAAATAAGCAATTCTTATTAATGTGTTATTGGGAATTATGAAAGCAATAAAAAATATAATAATGTCACATATTCAAGCACTCAAAAAGCATAGCCATTATGCCCACAATTTAAAAATAAAACAAATTCTCAAATACATATTCTAATCAACAAAGAAAGATTGAAATAATGAGATAAATCACAGGAAAAACAAGTGATTTTTAAATGAACTCAACCCACTTCAATGTAGAGATAACTCTAAGACAAATGTGGTTATGAAAGTGAAAAAAAAGTGGTCTAAGCACTTTTCTTTAAAGACACACATGGGCCTGGCACAGTTCTTCATGCCTGTAATCCCAACACTTTGGGAGGCTGAGGCAGGAAGGTCACTTGAGGCCAGGAGTTCAAGACCAGCCTGGACAACAGAGTGGGACCCCATCACTACAAAAAATATACAAATTAGGCAGGCATGGTGGTGCATGCCTGTAGTCCTAACTACTCTGGAGGCTGAGGTGGGAGGATTGCTTGACCCCAGGAGGCTGAGACTGCAGTGAGCCATGATCATGTCACTGCACTCCAGCCTGGGTGACAGAGTGAGACCCTGTCTCAAAAAAATGAATAACTAAAATAATAGGATATAGGACAAAGGATATAGGAAAAAATAAATAAGTAAAATAATAGGACATAGGACAAAATGTAATAATTGTATGGAAATAAAACCCAGATTATACTAACTTGAAATTAAGGGAAGGGAGAAAATGTGTCTTATATTTCAAGTTTCAATAGGAAGATTTCAAAGACACTCGAGGCATATAATTAAAGAAATTATTACAGTATACTTTTGAAATATTTAAGAACATATATCTTCTTGGGGGTGGGAGGAAGGGACTTGTACAATGGACATAAAGTTTCAGTTTTGCAAGACAAAAACATTCTCGTCATCTGTCACACACAAATGTATTGTACTGTACATTTAAAAATGGCCAAAATGGTAAATTTCATGTGTTTTTGACCAGAATATTTTAAAAACTTCCAAAATTAACATAAAACAAAAGAAAATATATTCCATATAATGAAATACAGTAAGAAAAATGCATAAGAAATAAAATTAGAAATAAAAATCAACGCACAGTGGCTCACTCCTGTAATCCCAGCACTTCGGGAGGCTAAGGCAGGTGGATCACCTGAGGTCAAGAGTTTGAGACCAGCCTGGCCAATATGGTGAAACCCCATCTCTACTAAAAATACAAAAATTAGCCAGGCATGGTGGTGCACACCTGTAGTCCCAGCTACTCTGGAGGCTGAGGCAGGAGAGCCTCTTGAACCCGGGAGGCAGGGGTAGGAGTGAGCCAAGATTGCGCTGCTGCACTCCAGCCTGGGCGACAAAGCAAGACTCTGTCTCAAAAAAAAACAAAAAAGTAAGTTTTATTTAAAGAACTTTTACAATAAATAGACAATTTTTAGGTGTGTAACTCTAGGTAACTTGTTTCACCTCCCTAATATTCATCTTTCTCTTCAGAGAAATAGAGAAAAGAACAGTTTACACAGTTGCTGTCCTGCTAATTATAATAAATTAATGCATAAACTATGTCCCCTAGTACATGCAAATACCCTAGTGGATGTGGAATAGAAAATAAGATTCTGAGAACTGGGGAACATATGCTCTTTACAAGACCATTAAAATTTCTAGAAGATTGGCAGGGCACGGTGGCTCACGCCTGTAATCCCAGCACTGAGGATCACGAGGCTGAGGCCGGTGGATCACGAGGTCAGGAGATAGAGACCGTCCTGGCTAACAAGGTGAAATCATGTCTCTACTAAAAATACAAAAAATTAGCAGAGCGTGGTGGCCGGTGCCTGTAGTCGCAGCTACTCAGGAGGCTGAGGCAGGAGAATGACGTGAACCCGGGAGGCGGAGCTTGCGGTGGGCCAAGATCGCGCCACTGCACTCCAGCCTGGGTGACTGAGCGAGACTCTGCCTTAAAAAAAAAAAAAAAAATCTAGAAGACTAAAGAATTCAAGAATGGGTAAAGTACGTCAAACAAAATGTAAATTTTAAAAAGAAGAAGCAACATAAACAATTTTTTAATTCGGCAGAGTAAAATTAAGTGAAATAGCTGTAAATGACAAAAAGATAATATTTTATACTTCCAAGGTAAAAGTCAATTTGAAAATATAACAGCAAGGAAGCCATCAGCCAAATAACATTATATTTAAATCTATAAGTTCACAACTATTAAGATATTAAGGAAGGATTTTAAATTATAATGATAAATTATAAAAATTCTGATATAATTTAACTTACATTCATATGTTATTGATAGATTAAGTAATAAAAAAATAAGTGTACAAATTTGCCTAAGTGAGAAGGTTAGTTTCTGCTAACTTTGTTTTAAACACTGTGCGTCAGAATCAATTGATCAATGCCCTTCACCACTCAAAATATCATGTTGCTACTTCAATCCTTAGAAAACAAAATATTTCAAATGGATCAAAAACTTAAGCACAAAGCACAGAACTATAAAATTCTAGAACAAACAATGTGTGAATAAGTTTACAAACTGGAAAGGGGTCAGTCTTTTTAAGCAGGATACAAAACCCCCAAGTAATAAAGAAAGTCATTGATAGGCCGGACGTGGTGGCTCACGCCTGTAATCCCAGCACTTTGGGAGGCTGAGGCGGGTGGATCACGAGGTCAGGAGATTGAGACCATCCTGGCTAACACGGTGAAACACCGTCTCTACTAAAAATACAAAAAATTAGCCGGGCGTGATGGCGGTCGCCTGTGGTCCCAGCTACCCTGGAGGCTGAGGCAGGAGAATGGCGTGAACCCGGGAGGCGGAGCTTGCAGTGAGCAGAGATCTGGTGCCACTGCACTCTAGACTGGGCGACAGAGTGAGACTCTGTCTCAAAAAGAAAAAAAAAAAGAAAAAGAAAGTCATTGATAACATTGAGCATTGAGCACAGTAAACTTGAATACAGAAATTGAGAACAACAACAAGTGGCAAACTGCGTCTGTGTTTGGGAGGTGACAATGATATTTTTTAAATGTAAGATATATAAGAAAAAGACTTACCAAGGAAACGTTAACCAAAAGAAGGCTGTTGTAGCTCTATCAATAACACCAAAGAATATTTTAAGGCAAATAGAATTAGTCAAGTAAAATGGGATATTTCACAATGAAGAAAAAGTCAATTCAACAAGAAGATACACAATCTTAAATTTACATGCAACTAATAACAAAGTGATCAAAGTATATTAAACAATAGTAGGTGGAACTAAAAGGATAAATGGAAAATTTACATTTGTAGTTGGAGATTTCAAATATTCTCTTTCAATAACAGATAGGTTGTCTAAAAATCAAAGGGCTAATTTTCTAAATAAAAAATATATTTTTCTCAATTAGTTAACATTTCACCGAAATCAAAGTTCCAACTTAGGTATCACATTGGACAAACATAATATTTGCATTGGTCTATCAAGAAAGAAAATGTTTTTAAAAACTCCTTTGTCTCATCATAAAGGGAAAAGTAAAATAAATGAAGCTTTTAACTTAAAACACAGGAAAGAAAAAATGAAAGAGGTGTGAGTGACATCTAGGCTTCTAACTGCACTTCTATAAAAACCAAAGCTCCTTGCTGTGGTCACAGGACTCTTTATTATATAACCTGTTTGTAAGGCTACAGCATTGTCTCAGCCAGTCTCCCACACACCCCAAATGCTCCAGTCTTACTATAGTTTCTTTTCTTTTTTCTTGTTTTTTAAAAATGAATTTGTATTCCCATGCTTAATGTCTCAGTTTGAGTGTCACATCTTCAGAAAGTACTTACTAAACACTTTATCTGAGACTACCCTTTCATTATTTTCATTTTCAAATCCCTATTCATTTCCTTTACAAAATTTGTTATTCATCGTTTTGTAGTCTAATATGGTTTGGCTGTGTCCCCACCCAAATCTCACCTTGAATTGCAGCTCCCACATGTTGTAGGAGAGACCCGGTGGGAGGTAATTGAATCATGAGAACAGTTACCCCCATGCTGCTGTTCTCATGATAGTGAATGAGTTCTCACAAGATCTGATGTTTTTATAAGGGGCTTTTCCCTCTTTTGTTTGGCACTTCTCATTGCTGCTATCATGTGAAGAAGAACGTGTCCGCTTTCCCTTCTGCCATGACTGTAAGTTTCCTGAGGCCTCTCCCCTACCATGCTGAACTTTGAGTCAATTAAACCTCTTTCCTTTATAAATTACCCAGTCTCAGGTATGTCTTTATTAGCAGCATGAGAACAAACTAATACACAGTCCTTTTAAATTCTGTGTCTGCCACATGAATGGAAGTGTGTCTCCATTAGAACACAGACTATGTCTGCCTTGCTAACCATTGTATCCGTAGCGTAGCACTGTGACCAACACAGGAAAAATCATCTATGCGTGTTTGTTGAATGATTGGCCTAGTAATCTCAGACAAATGTAATAAAAATAGACCACAAGTATTAGGACAGAGAATACCATATATACAGATGTAAAATTTTTAAATTACAAATTTGTGAATTTCCGACAATATGATAACATATTTGAAAACCTAGATAACATGAAAGTCTTTTTTTTTTTTTTTTTTTTTTTTTTTTGAGACAGAGTCTTGCTCTGTTGCCCAGGCTGGAGTACAGTGGCGCAATCTCGACTTGCTGCAACTTCCGCCTCCCGGGTTCAAGTGATTTTCCTGCCTTGGCCTCCTGAGTAGCTGGAACTACAGGTGCACACCACCATGCCTGGCTAATTTTTTGTATTTTAGTAGAGACGTGGTTTCACTGTGTTGACCAGGCTGGTCTCGAACTCCTGAGCTCCGGCAATCCACCTGCCTTGGCCTCCCAAAGTGCTAGGATTACAGGCATGAGCCACCACGCCGTCTTATATGAATATATGTTATCATGGTTTCTGCAAACATTATTTTGTATACTCCCTACGTAAAGCCTGTACAGCAGACAGCCTGAGCCCTGTTTTTCACATTAAATAACAGTGCTTAAAGTTTAGCATTGTTTATAACAATAAAAAATTGGAAACAACTTTCAGGGCTCATAAAAGTGTTTGGAAAATTAAATGATGGCCAGTCCATAAAAGGAAAGAAACTAAAGCCATGAAAAATGATGATGCACAGGCGCATTTACTCGAAAACAATAAAAGGTATTCCATCAAATGAAAATAATGTCTTGCAAAACAGCATGTAATAGCATCCCACTGTTTATAAACCATACACAAAGATATATATTTTTTTCTAAGTGAACATGAGAAGGAAGAAGTCTTAAGGGGCACACCAAATGGTATTAACTCTTGAAAGCAGAATTATGGGTGATTTAGCCAGCATCTTTATACATTTCTTTATTGTCTAGTATTATGCTGCTTGTAGTATTCATAATCAGACTAAAATGTTTTCCTTTAAAAATTAATGTACAAATGAATAATATATTTGCTCTGTGTCTCTAAGACCTTACAATTATATTCCAGTCAAAACAATAACATAAAAGTGGAATATTTATTTGATAATTCTCCCTTTGTAATCAATCCCAAGACATTTCTCCACAAACAAAGTTTCAGTTTGGAAGGGATGATTCCTCCTAATGTGGGAATCTAATAAATTGGGAGATCTGGGGGGAAAACATGGATAAATACGGTTCTACTGAGTATGGTAAGCCACCGCCCCTTGAGTTTCCATAGTTTTGAGCTTCTTTCTGCCTCCCTGTTTATGCTGAGCAAAGTAAAGATACCGTAACATTTTCCAAATGGTTCTAGGAAACGTTAATTGTTTCGTAAACATGAAGATGCTACAGGCATAGCAAGTAGATAGGCACTTGCCCCAGTGGCACAACAGAATAGAACCAAAAATATTAGCGACATTTAAATCTAATTACATTTATATTATATTTTCAGTTTCAATTATTTTCTATAGAAGAGACAGCAATTCCAAACTTAGAAAATTACCATCATATTATATTTCAAAAAAACAAATTAAAATCCGAAAATTGCCTTGGAAAGCTAATCGTGTTATTTTTAATGACTATATCAATGAGTCCATGGAACTGGACCAGAATAGCATCATATTTTCACAACAGTGCGTCATCCCCAAAGTATTTTTGAATGGATTATCTTATCTCACAATGACCCATCGATCAAACCTTATAAGTAACTTATTGCATTTGAGAAACAGAACTCGTGCCTTCCTCTTTCTTGCAGAGCTGAAACTAAAATCTGAGTCTTCAGATCCTACTGAAATGATCTTTCCACTAGATTGGACCATCCTGCCTCCGAGGTCATTGAAAAGCCTTTTTACTAAGTACTGCTAAGCAATGAAAATAAATTGAATACATAAGCAAAGTCTTTCTCCAGAAGACCTAGATATAAACAATCCAATTTACATACTTAAGACCTGCAAACAGACGTATGGTCCCCTATATACCATATTTCTTATAATTGGTATTGAACACAAAGGAAGCAGAAGAGCAAGCAAGCTTGACTGATTGCATCAGGTCTCCAAACTAGAGGAGGGCTCCATTATAGGAAAGATAAGGTCTCAGTGTTCTGGTTAGTACTGTTAGCAATTCTACTAATAATATTCTAACTGAATGCATCCCCTGAAATGTGCACTTGAAACTCTGTATATGATTGTCATTCATTAGCTACAACTACCTAGCTGAGTCACATTCTATTGTTTATTGTGCCTACTGTTATCTCAAAGCCTGCAGCTGATGAAGCTAACTATTTAATTAGGGGCCTGCCCAGCCAGGCTGGTGATGAAATAGAAATTATGGTCACCGGGGGTAATGAAGATGAGAAGGAGGTAAATGTTTGCTTTCTGATTGCTCAGCATTCATCTGATAAGGTTTTGTGATATTTTTCTGATCTCCTCTCTTGCCAAAGTCAAATTTAAATCTAGGAGAAAGCTGTGGTGATGGGGAGAGTGAGGACAGCAAAACACACTGAAAGAACACTAAGAGATTATGATGCAGCAGAAAGGAGGTGGCTGGAACTCAGAACTGCCTCCAAGCCTGCTCCAGCCCAGACAGCCCTGAGTCATTGTGAGGCCTGTAAATGAGGAAGTTGTCCTGGTTCTTCAAGAGTGAACATCAGAATCGCCTGTGGCAATTTTCATAACCCTAAATGCTCAAGGCTCACCCTGGGCCCATGGAACAAGGGACATTCAGGTATATTTGACTTTAAACAATTTCATGGATGATTATGACGTACATCCATGGTTCAAAGTTATTGGACTGGATGAATTAACACCCCTTGCAGCTCTCAAAACTCATGAATTTCATATGGACTTTCTTACCACTGCATTTCCAAAAGAGCTTCCTTATACTAGAAGAATGACGGAAAATTCCTTGGCGTTACAAAAGCCAGTTTCTAGTAATTGTTTTTTGTTGTTTTTTTTGAGATGGAGTCTCACTCTGTCGCCCAGGCTGGAGTGCAGTGGTGTGATCTCAGCTCACTGCAACCTCCGCCTCCCGAGTTCAAGAGATTCTCCTGCCTCAGCCTCCCAAGTAGCTGGGATTACACGTGTGCGCCACCATGCCCAGCTAATTTTTTAATGTATTTTTTTATTAGAGATGGGGTTTCACCATATTGGCCAGGCTGGTCTTGAACTCCTGACCTTCTGCTCCACCCGCCTTGGCCTCCCAAAGTGCTGGGATTACAGGCGTGATAGTAATTGACTTTATACTGCAGATGGATATGCCATTCTCCAAATATTACTGCTAACTTGTATCAGGCCACCTAGCGGCAATAGAAAAGGAAAGCTGCTGGTGTCCTGCTTATAAATTAACAGTGAAAAAGGTAGATAATGAAATGCTCAGAAAATGGAAGAAAAATGAAGGATAACTTTAAAAATTAGCTTTCTGCTATCACCTCACACTATCCTTGCTTACCATAAAACCTTTGTAAGCAAGCACTAGCTGTCAGCTTCCTTAAGCCTAGAAGAGAGGTTACCCCTATAATCTAACCAAAGCCTTATAGAATCTCAAAGTTTGAATGCTGGACATCTCTGTAACACTGATCACATTACCAATATCCTGGTATCCCGTACTGTGAGAAGTTGAATAATATTCGTGTGTGTGTGTGTGTGTGCGTATTTAAGCCATTTTATTGATGTATAATTAACATATCAAAAGGAGAACCCATTTAATGGATACAATTTGATGAGTTTGCAGATAAGTATAAACTGGTGAAACCATCACCAGAATCTGTGTCATAGACCTCCATCAGCTCCAAAAGTTTCCTCCCACCCCTAGGAAAATTTTCTTTAATTGTAATTTCTGGAGGCATGTTCATCCTGAAATTCTCCTTGTCATTTCAAAGATAGTGTACTATTTTGCCAAGACTTACAAAGCCATGTTTGACTTTGTTTAATTAATTATTTATGAATACTGTAGTAGATTGCTAGGGCTCCCATAACAAAGTCCTAGGAACTAGATGGCTTAAAAAACAGTAATTTATTTTCTCATAGCTCTGGAATCCAGAAATCCAAGATCAAGGTTTCAGCAGGGTTGGTCCCTTCTGAGGGTCATGAAGGAAAGATCTGTTCCAGGCCTGTCTCCCTGGCATACAGTTGGCCATCTTCTCCCTATACCTTGGGGTCTTTCCTCTGTACATGTCTGTGTCCAAATTTCCTATTCTTTTTTCAAAACATTTTTTAGAATTTCAACTTTTATTTAGATTCTGGGGATACATGTCCAGGTTTGTTACACGTCTGTATTGCATGTTGCTGAGGTTTGGGGTAGGACAGATCCCATCATCACCCAGGTAGTGAGTATAGTACCCAATAGTTGGTGTTTCAACCCCTACCTCTTCCTCTCCCTCCCCCTTCTAGCAGTCCACAGTGTCTGTTGTTGCCATTTGTATGTCCATGAGTACTCAATGTTTAGCTCCCCCTTATAAGTAAAAACATATGATATTTGATTTCCTGCCTCTGTGTTAATTTGCTTACAAATTTCCTATTCTTATAGGACACAAATCTTATTGGACTAATGCCCAACCCAATGACCTCATTTTATCTTAATTACCTCTTTAAGATCCTATCTCCAAATATTGTCACCTTCTGAAGCACCGGGGCTTAGGACTTCAACATATGAATTTTAGGGCAGATACAATTTAGTTCATAACAAACACATCTTTCAAGAACATCTTTCCCTGATAACTATGGTTAGTAGTCAAACTGTCTGATGCTACCTGTCATCTGAGGGTCTGAGAAGCTGCAATTAAAACAATACAAGAATCTTTCTGTCATTGACAATTTTGACTTTAAGAAAATAAAATCTCACAGTTACTTTTATTTCTTTTCATCACTATTTCTCAGGGACATATGATGGACAGAAAGTTCAGCAGTGACAGTTAAAAATTCAGAGATTTAGAGACAAGCAACATGGGATATGTCCTGGCTCCAACTCTGAGGAGCTTTTGGTAGATTCTCTTAGTAAAATGTAGAAAATGTCAACTGAATACAATATTGTAAGAATTGAATTAGTTGATTATATGAGAGTGGTTTGTAAACTTAAAGTCCAATAGAAATTGCTTGTAAGAATGTGGCTTTTGGAGTTAGAAACTCTGAGTCCAAGTCTTATCTTGGCCACTTATTTGTTTATTCTTTGGGCAATTCACTTAACTTCTCTGAGACTCAGTTCCTCACCTCTATAAAAAGGGAATTGATGAAGTCTACCATTTCTAAGAAATATGTTTCTATAAAGGAAAAAGTAAGATATTTAAAAGTATAATATTAATCATATTAAATTATTATACGACTAAAATAATTTCTTTTATGAGCTCTGAGAATCTATGTGTACAACAGCCAGTGAAGCTCTCCCACCCCTGCAACCATCATGCCCAAAGGGAAGTACTGCTATTATTAGATTGATTATTAGATTGTAGGTTGCAAATATATAATACCTTTCTTTGATTAAGCAGGCCCTTTCTTAGTACAACTCAATGAATTTAGGATAGATGCTCTTATGACTTCTCATGAAGGCAGTAACAGCTGTGTGCGCATGCGTGCATGTGTGTGTGTGTGTGTGTGTGTGTGTGTGTGTGTGTATGTCTGTCTGTCTGTTATCATTGGGGATGGGAAGTGGGACATTTAGGGGAGTTAAGTCTTGAGGTATAGAGTTTATCAAAATCTACCAGGATGTCTTTCCTGAAGCAATAACATTTACTGAAGATAAGAAAAATGAAAAGTGAAAAATCAGAATTTAAAAAATAGTTTGGAAAATATTTTAAGCTGGAGAAGGGCAAAGCAAGAGAAAAGAAGAAAGTGAGGGCTGGAAACATATGGTCAAAGATGAGATGTGTTTTACATGCACAGAAGGAAGAGAGAAATATGCTTTTGAGTAAAGTCAGCCTGACACAGTGTCCCTACAATAACTGTTTTAGGACTGTTTGGTGTGTTTCCCATTACTATGCATATTTTTAAATGAAAAAAATTGCAATGATGGCCAGCTTAAAAAATTGCTCCTGCGTTCTTCATTAGGTACAAGTATAGGGATGGAATGAAGACCCTTGCATCATATTACAGTGCCATAACTAGAACAATTTCGAAGTTCACCAACAAAGTTCTTTCTACCTTTAGGAGAAAATTGAACTTGGAGACAGTCATTCATCTGTTAATTTATTATCTTGGCAAACATTTGTTGACTAATAGCAGTTGCTATATGTGAGGCTGGAAACCAGAAAAAACATTGATAAACAAGACACAGACTCCACGCTGAGGCTTTCACAGACTATAGGCACTATGGCCACATAAACTGAACGTTGCTCTCAGTGTGCCGAGCACTGAGACTGTAGGGCTAGAGTGAGCTGCTCTCATTTCCCCTGAGCTGTCTTTAGGGGAAAGAAAGGCCACAGAGTTTCAATTATGTAACTCAGAACCATGCTTGGGCGTATTAAATAAAATTTATAGAAATCCATTAATTTGGACTGAGCTCTGGCATTAGCCCTAACCAGACCAAACCAAAATGGAGTCACTCAAGCTAAACTAAAACACCCCAAGCCAAAACTAAGTCGTTTATCCGGACTGAGAAATTAGGAGAGAGAGAGAGAGAAATAACCAAATCTCCAAACAAGCCAGCTTAGCTAGCATAATAAGAAAATCCCCTCTGCTTTAACCTTACAAAAAAAGTACCTTTGAAATAACCAATTTGCTTTTTGTTCCTTGTTTCTGCTTGCATCAACCTTTTCTGCCTATAAATACTCACTGCCCACATTGCAGAGCAGAGTTCTCTGAACCTCTTCTGGTTCTGAGGGCTGCCTGATTCAAGAATGGTTCTTTGCTCAAATAAATGCCGTTAAATGTAGCTTGTTGAATAGTTGTCTTTTATCGGGAGCAATGCTGAACTAGAACACAGAATCTAGGGCTCTATTTCAAGTCTGTTTTTACAGTTACCTTTTATCTCTTCCTTACATAATATTATCCTCTAAATGTGCCTCTCAATCAAGAGGAAGGAGGTTGCTTTTCCAAAATTATCAATTTTATACATTCACTGGCAAAATATACTGAACATAGGACAACGAAGAAGAAAATGCAGCTAAGAGATTTAATATATATGTAGAAAAAAAGGCTACCTTGGGAAGGAAGTGGGAAGATAACTCAAGAAAAATCCCTAAATAAACCAAGTTTAAAGAAGTTGAGGCTGAGATGGAGAATGGACCACTGGGCTCGTGGGATAAAGAAATGGCAAATTGGTCACTGGGAAAAGGTACTATAGATGTTCCACATATTTATATATACACACATACACGTAAGTACAAAGAAAGAGGGAGTCAAAGTTTAGCAAAGAGGGAAGTGGCACAGGAGACTTCTGGAAAGATGAGCACTCTAACACTGGGAGGACACCGCATCACTCAACATTCTAGAAAAGACTTGGGTGAGAAATTTCTCTCTAAATTTAGCCTCATGAATATATGAGGGCAAGAGCGAGTTACCACTCTTCCCACAAACTCTACAGCAACAAATTGAAAAAGGTGTGAGATGGAGTTTATCACAGGAAGAGGTTGACTTTAAAATAATAACCTATTGGCCAAGAGTGGGCAATTCAATTGGAAGAAACAGACTGGGCTTCCAACAATCCAGAGTTGACCATACCTGGTTGTTGGATTTAAGCAATGACACGTCAATAAGAAGATGGGTCATCTATGGATGATTGCAAGGATACACATAACAGGCAACATGTGCAAACCATTTCATTTACATAGTCACCATCGCTATCAGGAAACTCAGGTTTTATTCTCAATCATTGCAAATCGTGTTGGTTGTGTACATTTTTCTTCTCTTAATTCAGCTGTGTTTTCTCCCTTTATTCTTCTTGTAGTTATTGTTTTCAAATAATGAAGAAATTTACAAGCATGTGTATGTAGAAAATTTCACCACCTCTGCATGAGGCACAATGCAAGTTAAAAGCAACAAACTGTTGTTGCAGAGTCTGACTTGACTGAGAAGAGACAAAATACTGATAGAGTCTATTTATTTATATATCTTAGAATTCAGGCCATATCCTGAGGAAATTATTATTTCACTTATGACTGACTCACAACAACCCTACACATTCTATAACCTTAACATTTATAGATTAAGAAAATGAGACATGTAAAAGTTAAATAACTTATCTCAGTCCTACAGCCTGGAAATCCCGAATCCTGGATTTTAAACTAGTTCTTTTGACTCCAAAACCCATGTTCTTTCCTCTCCTCCTCTATGTCTCAGAAATGTCACTTTCAAGTAGAAGAACCAATAAAACCAAACTGCTGTGTTTTTAGCTTCCAGAAAGTCTGATTATAAGAGGACATTGAAGAAACACATTAGTTTCTAAGCTTAAAGAGATATCTCAATTGGTCTTAACTCTTTCTGTCTGTAAAACACTGATTTCTTTTTTCTTCTATTTATTATACATTTTAAATAAAAAGCTCCATTTTTTTTTACTTTCATGTTTATACAGTAGAATTATTCACCACAATGTCAATAGTAATACAGAGCATGGAGGAAAAAAGTGGGGTTGGCTAACTAGTCCAACAGTAATTGAATCATGAAACTGAAAAACCCAGTATCAGCCTGAGGAAACAGAATCTTTGAAATTTCTCTTAACACTCATTATCCATTAAAATATTTTATGAGCTGCTGCTCCATACCAAACGGCCTGCTCAATACTGGCAGATTCAGATGTGATACCAGTTGTAGGCTTCAAGGACTTCAGTACAGTGGAAATACAATCCCTTTAAAAACAATATAATGAGGACTATAATAACTTCTATTTAAGGCTTGTTCACATTGCACCAGAGAGCAAATATTACAATTTCAACTGGAATTTGGCTTCTTTCCCCCATTTTGATCCCACATAGTTAAATTTTAGCAGTATATGTAAAGTCATAATGCAAAAAAGATAAATGGCTTAAGAGTGCAAGTTACATCAAGAAAAGTATACATAAAAGAAACCTTATCTCTTATAAAATATACAGCTCATGACAAAAAAAAAGTATATCCACTATTGTGGTAAAACTAGATGTAATGCTAAGTGAAAAGAAATTGGAGCAGCACAAAATAAAATGCTGAAATAGGTTATAAAGAGAAACTAGGATGTGATCCCAAAAATTCAAAAAGGGTGATATAGACGTGGATGTAGGAAGAGAAAAAAGGTGAGAGGGTGTTTCTTACTGGTAGAGGAGAATTTCTTCACTTGGGGTTCCGAGACTTTTCATTGATTCATAGGTAAGCCTTATGGGATCTTCCAAATTCTGACATTGTTTGGAAACTTCATGTATATGTTCATCTTTTTCAGGGCAAAGAGTCTAGGGCTTTCATTAGATTCTTCCATTTACCCTTACAACATTAAAGTATCACAGACATGAGCAATACAAAGTAAGCAAAATATAACACCAATTTGAAGCAGAGTAATTTATATTTTTGTATTTTTTCGAATAAATGGACTCTTTTCATCACACATTAGAAACACTTCTTCATCACAAATTAGAAAGGGAGAAAATAAACAATTGTTTAGGTACACTGAGTGGGTGGCATTAAAAAGAAACAGATGATTTTATTATTAAACAGGAAACCTCAGGGTGATGAGAGACAAGTGGTAGAAAATTATAATGTTTACCCCAAGCTAATAATGGTGGGTTTTCATGCTTGATTTGAGCCTGTTATCTTTTCTATAGATTATCTTATGAGTGTAAATAATAAAATAAGTATATCCAGATCCAAGGGCATACACTAGTGATTGGATAAGATCCAGGAGATGAAACCAGTCATGACATTTAGCTGAGGATTTTTGGTTTAGTAGGGGGGAGGAGTAAAATTTAGAAGACTGGGGCTCCATTCTCTCACCTAGATATTTTCTCTTAGTCTCTCAATGTATAACTCCCAAAAATAGTAAAATATGACTCATACAAACATGTCAGAGAGTAATTTAACTCAATCCAGTAACTGGGAAGCACACAAAGCAGTTATAAGAGCATTTAGTGGACAGAGATTTATATTGTCAGGTAAAACTTGGATAGGGAAACAATTTTGCTAAGTTATATGCACAACTGGTTAATGTTCTACAAGGCAATAAAACTGTGTATCCTTGGGATTCTGTTTTACTGTCTGAAAGAAATCATTTCCATTTCTGCTAATCAAAAATCATGTATAGTTTCTCAATTTCTGCAAGTTTATATGTAACTGCACACTGTCTGGATTTTCATCAACAATAAAGGTCAAGAAAAAGCATTCTCTTAGAGAATTAAATAATCCCTAGATAGTCCTAAAAGACAATGTTATAGTATAACATCAAAAGGACACAGAGTCGTTCTTTTACCTTATATTCAAAGTTTGAATAATTTTTCTTAACAGGTGCCAGGGTTTCACCATTGATGAGAGGGAGGCCTTTTTCAGCGCCATGACATACGTAACCACTTCCATCTGATTTTTTGGATTAATGCTTACATTGCAACAGGCAACACCACAGAAGGTTCAAACAAAAGACTTTGCTAAATTGGATTCAAGGCCAAAATACGAGTTTTCATGTGAAAGTTGGAGGTGGAAAAGTGAGAATAGCCAAGAATATCTCACATGTGTAATCCAGTGGTCTGAAGCTCCAGATGGCCCCACTTAATTATGCCTTGCTTTCTCCCCTGTCTTAACAGGGTCTTGCAGTTTGGAGCATAGAACCTGAGCGTAGAGACAGAGGTGAGCTCCCTGATGAAGCAATCTTTCTCACTCTTTTGCCCATGGCCTCTCTCTGGACATCTCAAGACTAGACTGCTTCTAGTCTAGTTCTGTCTCTCTTACTGGTTACATTCCAAACACTGTCCCAGTAGCTGATTCATATCTTACCATTGCCATCTTTCCATCTTATAGATTATGGGTACTAGACTTTTGGCAATTGTGGCCACTCTTCCAGACTTCGGGCAGAACTCACTGGATCCAGAGAATTTCAGGATGTTGAGCGGGAAGAGGATGCTTTCCCACCAACTATAACATTGAAGAAATCATAGTGTTGACAATGTGTGGCTGTTCTCCAGTCTGTGTTCTAATTGCAAGACACACATGTGCTCATGACTTGGCCCTAGGCCTGTGTCTTCCTTCCCTCCCCTTCTCTGCCAAGAAGAAATCCTTTCTCCACAGCCCAAGTCAAACCATGGTAGAACAGCCATCAGATGTTATATACTCTCTCAGCCATGTGTGGAAACAACACCATGGTGAGATCTTGGGTTTTTGTTTTTGTTTTTGAGATGGAGCCTTGCTCTGTTGCCCAGGCTACAGAGTGCAGTGGCGCAATCTCAGCTCACTGCAACCTCTGCCTCCCAGGTTCAAGCAATTCTCCTGCCTCAGCCTCCTGAGTAGCTGGAATTACAGGCATGCGCCACCACACCCAGTTAATTTTTGCATTTTTAGTAGAGACGGGGTTTCACCATGTTGGTCAGGCTGGTCTTCAACTCCTAACCTCATGATCCACCCGCCTCGGACTCCCAAAGTGGAGATCTTGGTTTTAAACATCTGTGCTGCCTGTACCACTGGTATGATCTTTGTCTTCCTTGGTGTCTGGTTTGCATTGCTATGGCTTGCTGGTTAAGATTGCTCACAATTTTTATAAGGACAGAAATATTCATCCACAGAAAGAACTCAATAATTGTGTTTCTTTTCTCAGTTCATCTGATATAGATGGATCTGATGTAAATGTTGATGTCACATGAGCAATACCCCTGTCATACCCCTGGAGTTCCAGTCACTTTTTTTCTTTTTTTTGGAGATAGAGTCTGGCTCTGTGCCCAGGCTGGAGTGCAGTGGCGCGATCTTGGCTCGCTGAAAGCTCCACCTCCCAGGTTAACGCCATTCTCCTGCCTCAGCCTCCCCGAGTAGCTGAGACTAAAGGCGCCCACCACCACGCCCGGCTAATTTTTTTTTGTATTTTTATTAGAGACATGGTTTCACCATGTTAGCCAGGATGGTCTCTATCTTCTGACTTCATGATCCTCCCGCCTCAGCCTCCCAAAGTGCTGGGATTACAGGTGTGAGCCACTAAGCCCGGCCTCCCTTTCTAAACTTCTACTACACATTCTCAATTAGAAGTAGTGGTTTAAAGCTTTTACACTAGCCTACTCAACCAGAAATTTCACTTTTACCCTTAACACATTCATTAAATAATTGACCCAATGATGTTAATTTTACTCTAAGAAAAATGCACCGAATTAGTTGCTAAGCAAACAAAATCCTGCCCATCTTATTACACAAGCATACAAGTTAGAGATAATCAAGTATTCTTACACCAATTTTCTATCCAATAGCCTTAAAATGATAGCCAGAAAAAAATAATTAATTTTATATTTTATCCCCCCCTCCCCAAAAAAGAACCCTGGAAGTGCAGCTAGAATGGTTAGATAACTTGTCCAAGTTCATAGGTCTGAAGAGTGGATGACCTGGGACTAAATCTAAGTCTTCTTCCTCTTCTTCCAGAGGTCCCTCACAAGTAGACGTCTTCAAGCAGAGAAGAACATTGCATTGCCCCATCAGCCTCATCAATGGTTCTCTAGCAAGAACAAAAAAGAGTCAAAAACTTGAGAATGTCATGCCTTGTCAGCCAGCATGGGCCCTAATTTAAAATTTTAAAATTATATAATGGGTTTTAGGAAATCCAGA
Organism: Homo sapiens; assembly: GCF_000001405.40. NCBI lineage: Eukaryota > Metazoa > Chordata > Mammalia > Primates > Hominidae > Homo > Homo sapiens. Next base: position 81,098,624 of record NC_000010.11, on the reverse strand, counting down.
ATATAAGTCGTATAGATGAAAGAATGGAGTCAAGATTTCCAAAAACTTGAAAATGAGCAGTATCATGCTGTTCCCTTGGAGATTATGATATGTAATGCATACTGACTAGATAAGTAAAGAGACAAGAGAAGTCACACTAAAGAGACACAATGAATCCCAGGGTAGTTGGTTGATGAATCTTGATTGATAAGATGCATCCAAATATGGTCCAGTGGTGGGAGCACTTGACAGATAAATTTTGAATTCTAAATTACTTTTTATTTTGATCTGTGCCCATTTTTATGTGATCATTTTGATTTATTCTGTAATTCATCATACTTGAGGCAGAAGTACACTGGCCAGGTCCCTGCTAATATTATTTCCAACGGCGAGTTTTATTTTCCAGCGGCCTTCTCATTTGAGCGGGGGAGAGGGAACAATGTACACCCCTGGGGTGCTAAAATATCCAGGCGTGTTTGCCGACTAACGGAGGTTTGTCTATTGAAAGTCCACTCCCATAAGGAACAAAGGAGCTTTCACATCAGAAAAAAAAAAGAAAGAAAGAGAGAGAGAAAGAAAGAAAGAAAGAAATGTCAGGCATACAAGCTGTGTCTCAAATGTAACAGGAAGGACATTACTGTTTTTCACAAAAATCTGTCTCCTGGCCTAAGCCTAAATACTCACTTGTGAATCCCTTAGAGAGGATTGGTGGCTATAACCAAAACCTTCAAGATCTTGTTTTCCAAATCCCTTTGAGACATTGAGATATATGTGGGACTACTTTATGACTCCTCAGAAGGCTGTGTAAAGTGGATTCACCACAGACCACCATCACCTTGGACCCTCCAGTGAAGGGGCGTGCAGAAAAGTTGTAAGTATTCAAAAGAAGATGGTGATACCACTATAGCATCAATGAATATCATAAGCCTTGGTACTGCTGGAGCTGTACTACTCAATACAAAGCTAGAGTCAGTTGAAAGCTGGTGCTAAGTAATGGAAGCAGCAACAAGACATGATGAACAAGGCAGTACCCATTAGAAGCAGCTGTGGATTTTGGCAGTGGTGAATTGGACCTGGCTATGCAGGAAACGACACAGGAGTTCCCAGGGTTTGTGAGTATGTACAGCATATGATACTATCAAAGAAAGGCCACAACAAGAGGGAAAGAATAAGGAGGAAGGAGAGGAACAGGAGAAAGAAAAGAAAATCTTTGAGAAAAACTTGTAACCTGACCACTCTTATTAATAATGCTTCACTACGACTGTAAGAGTTGTTCTCGGAGACACAATCAGAAAATTTTAAAACAGACAGAGTATCATGAATAACTACAAAGAAATTTGAAAATCTCTATAACATTTAGAGATATGCAAAAGCATAAAATTCATTCAAAAAAAAAAAAGGAAAAGAAAAACTTGAAACCTAGAAAAACTACTAAACCAAACTGATAGGGTGACAAAAGACTATCTCTTCCAAAAATCCTCTTGCCCAGAAAACTGGCTAACCATATGCAGAAGAGTAAAGGTGAATCCCTGCCTCTCACCTACACAAAAATTAACTCAAGATGGATCAAAAACTTAAACGTAAGACTACAAAATATAAAAATTCTGGAAGAAAACCTGGGAAATACAGAGTAAACAGGCAATCTACATGGGAGAAAATATTTTCAAACTATGCATCTGATAAAAAAATAATATCCAAAATCTATAAGGAACTTACAAGAATCAACAAGAAAAAAACAAACAACCCTATTAACAAGTTGGCAAAGGACATGAACAGACATTTCTCAAAAGAAGACATACAAGTGACTAACAACATTTGAAGAATGTTCCATATCACTAATCATCAGGGAAATGCAAATCAAAACCACAATGAAACACTATCTCACATCATTCAGAGTAGCTGTTATTAAAAAGTCAAAAAATAACAGATGTTGGTAAGGTTGCAGAGAAACAGGAACACTTACACACTGCTGGTGGGAATGTAAATTAGTTCAGCAACTGTGGAAAGCAGTTTGGAGATTTCTTAAAGAACTTAAAATAAACTACCATTTGACCCAGCAATGCCATTACTGAGTACGTACCCAAAGGAAAATAAATCGTCCTGCAAAAAGAGAACATGCACTCGAATGTTCATCACAATACTATTCACAATGCAAAGACATGGAATCAACCTAGGTGCCGATCAACAGTGGATCGGATAAAAAAAACTGTGGTACATATGCATCATGGCATACTACTGAGCCATAAAAACTAAAGAAATCATGTCTTTTGAAGCAACATGGATGCAGCTGGAGATCATTATCCCAAGCAAATTAATACAGAAACAGAAAAACAAATACTGCATATTCTCGCTTATAAACTGGAGCTAAGTATTGAGTTCACACAGACATAAAGATGGAACAATAGACACTGGGAAATCTAAAAGAAAAGGCGGGGGAGGGGGGCAAGGATAAAAAACTTACTATTGAGTACTATATTCATTATCTGGCTACTGGAATCAATAACAGCACAAACCTCAGCATCACACAATACACTCTTGTAACAAACCTGCACATGTACTCCCTGAATCTAAAATTAAAATTAAAATTAAAAACAAAAGTCTCCTTGCCTAGATACTTTCATAGGTACTTTTACCAACTTTTAAAGTAGAGTCTCAATCTTTAAACACATGTTCCAGGAAACATAAAAAAGAAAATAAGAAATAATTTTTGAGACAAAATTTTTTTCCAAAACAAGATAGTGACAAACAAAGTTAGTACTACAGCATAATTCCATATCAGAAAGTCTACCAATGTAATTCTCCATATTAATAGAATAAAGGAAGAAAATTATATGATTATTATTAGAGGCATAAAAATAATTTTATAAAATACATCAACAGTTTTAAAAACTCATGAAACCAAAAAGTAAAAGGAATTTTTTTTTTATTTTGTAAAAAGCAACAACAGCAAAAAAACTACAGAAAGCATTTTACCTAATGGAGAAACTTTGATGCATTTTCTTAGAAACTGAGAAAAAGATAAGTATTCCCACTAACACAGCAACTGTGGAATATTAAAGTGGAGGTCAGAACAAATGTAGTAATAGGAAGACAATAAATAAGAGAAAAATTGGAAAAAAAAGAGATAAAATTCTCAGTCTTACAGACAGCATGAGCTTTCTACATTGACCGGTCAACATAATCGAAACAGAAACTTACAATAAACAGGACAGACAGATCATTGGGGTTGCAGAATAGAAAATCAGCTTAATAGTGGTGTAGCTAGAGGGAAGATAGTGGAGTAAAAAACACCAAGAATTTGTCTCCCAACTTAGACAACAATTGCACTGGTGGAATCTGACTGATGTGACTATTTTGGAACTCTGCAGTCTATTAAAGGTTTAAACAGTAAATTGTAATTAATTTTGGTCAATTACAGCTCTTAACGCAATTTAGCTCTTAACACAACTCTACCCTTCCCCCAATCCCTAGTCCCAGGGCAAGCAGCCATGCCCATGTTTTTATATAGCAGCATGCACACAGTTTGCAGGAGCCAGGGTGGGGAAAAAGCACCCTGTCTTTCAAAAATGAGAGAGGAATTGATATATTGCCAGGTAAAATCTAAGAACAGAACTAAATAAATGGAGAGATATTCCATGTTTATAGATAGATTCAATATTTACCAAGAATCTACACACAGATCTTATACCCATCACAAAAATTATTTCAAAATAATTGAATCATAGAGCTAAATAATTGGATGATAGACCTAACTGTAAAATGCAATACTATAAAGAATTAGGAGATAACATATGAGAAAATCTATATGTCTTTGGGTATGGAGATGACTTTTTAGATACAACGTCTAAAGTATGATCCATGAAATAAATAATTGATAAGCTGGACTTCATTATAATTAAAATATTCTACTGTGCAAAATGCGATGTCAAGAGAATGAGAAGACAAGGCACAGACTGGCAGAAAATATTTACAAAAGAAACATCTGTTAGCTAAGATACAGAAAAACTCAACATTTGATAGTAAGAAAACAACCCAATTAAAAATGGATTAAAAGATCTAAACAGATACCTTACCAAAGAAGATATACAGATGGCAATTAAACATATGAAAAAATGTTTAACTCATATAAACTGTTGGTGGGAGGTAAATCAGGACAAGCATTAGGTAAAATAGTATGAAGATTTCTCACGAAACTAAAAATAGAACTACCATATGATCCATTAATCTTACTACTGGGTAGTTATCAAAAAAATGAAATAAGTATATTAAAGAGATATCTGCACTCTCATCTTTATTGCAGCACTATTCACAATAGCCAAGATGTGGAATAAACTGAAATGTCCATCAAAAGATGAATGGATAAAACAAATGTGGTATACAAATACAATGGAATACTATTCAGCCATAAAAATAATAAAATCTTGTTATTCATGGTAACATGAATGAGCCTGGAGGACATTATGTTAACTGAAATAAGCCAGGCACAGAAAAATAAATACTGCATATTCTCACTCATCTGGGGGAGCTAAAAATAAAGTTGTTCTCTTAGAAGTAGAAAGCAGAATTTTAGTTATTAGCAGCTAGAAAGGTTAGTAGGGAGGGGAGGTAGGAAGAGGTTGGTTAATGGATACAAATTACAGCTAAATAAGGTAAGTTATAGGGCCCTATAGCTCTATAGGGCAAATATAGTTAATAATAATTTATTGTGTATTTTCAACAAGCTAGAAGACAGAATTTTGAATGTTCCCTACAAAAAGAAATTATAAGTGTTTGAGGTACCGGATATTCTAATTACCATAAAATGCATACATGTATTGAAATATCACTCTCTGTCCCATAAAGATGTACATGTATGTGTTGACTAAAAATAAGTGAAAGAATAAGGGGATCATGGTGCAAGGGAGACAGGACTAGATTGTAGCTCTGACTTGGACAAACAGAACAGTGTGTAGAGGCTCACATAGTGAATTTTTACTCCAGAACAACTGCAGGAATTAATCAGGAAACCCGAGAGGACCTACAGACCCTCTGAAGAAAGTGGAATGCTCCTTCAATATCAGGGAGACACCCCAAATACTGTGAGTGCCCAAACTGTGGAAGTAGGAAAAGGAGATCGTCTGCCTCAAACACACACCCCCACTGGGGAAACTGAACGTCTAGATTACAGGAGGAGATCCTGACCTTACCTGGAGCTGAGTCAATTAGAGAGCTGACCAAAATACAGGGGTAAAGGAAGCAGTGGAAAAAGCCCTGTGAGCTCGCTGAGTTCCCTAGCAAGCCATCTCTGCCTGGCTTCACAAGGGTCCTTTGGGAGGGCGGCCAGACGCACTTGGCAAAGGCCACAGGGAGAAGGAAATCTCCAGCTCAACTTAGTAACAATTTGAACTGATCCAGAAGTCTCCTGGCCAGAACCCGGGGGAGGGTGTGAATCTGGTGTGCAGATGCCACAGCGGGGGAAGAAGGAAAGCCATACTTGCTTTCATAGCTGGGAGGTGGGTAGCCTGGGGCAATTTCTCAGCCCTGCTCACCCACTGCCTGGAAACAGACTTGGTGCTGTTGTAGGGGCACAGTGGGAGTGAGACCGACCCTTCAGATTGCATAGGATCTAGGTGAGGCCTGTGACTGCCAGCTTTTCCCCACTCCCCTGACAACCTGCATGATACAGCAGAGACAGCCATAATCCTCCTAGGAACATAACTCCATTGACCTAGGAACTTCATCCCATCCCCCAGCAGCTGCAGCAAGACCCACCCAAGGAGATTCTGAGCTCAGACTCACCTAGCCCTACCCCCACCTGATGGTTCTTCCCTACCCACCCTGGTAGCTGAAGACAAAGGGCATATACTTTTAAGAGTTCTAGGGCCCCAACCGCCACCTGTTCCTCCCCATACTACCATAACTGATGCTGTCTAGAAAGTGCCACCTCCAAGCAGGAGGCCAACCAGCACAAAAATAGTGCATTAAACTACCAAAGCTAAGAACCATCACAGAGTCCATTTCATCCCCCTGTCACCTCCACTGAAACATGTGCTGGTATCCACAGCTGAGAGTCCCACAGACAGTTCACATCACAAGACTCTGTGCAGACAACTCCCAGTACCAGCCTTGAGCCTCATAGACTTGCTGGATGGCCAGATCCCAAAGAGAGATAACAATCACTGCAGTTCGGCTCTCAGGAAGCCACATCCATAGGAAAAGGGTGAGGAGTATTACATCAAGGGAACACCCCATGGGACAAAAGAATGTGAACAATGGCCTTCAGCCCTAGATCTTTCCTCTGACAGAGTCAACCCAACTGGGAAGGAATCCAAAAACCAACTCTGGCAATATGACAAAACATGGTTCTTTGACAACCCCAAAAAATCACACTAGCCCACCATCAATGGATTCAAACCAAAAAGAAATCCCTGATTTGCCTGAAAAAGAATTCAGGAGGTTTGTTACAAATCTAATCAGGGAGGCACCAGAGAAAGGAGAAGCCCAATGTAAGGAAATCCAAAAATGATATGAGAAGTGAAGGGAGAAATGTTCAATGAAATAGATAGCATAAATATAAAACAATCAAAACTTTAGGAAACAATGGATACACTTATAGAAATGCAAAATAATCTGGAAAGTCTCAGAGATAGAATCAAATGAGTAGAAGAAAAAAATTCAGAGCTCAAAGACAAGGTCTTCAAATTAACCCAATCCAACAAAGACAGAGAAAAAAGAATATGAAAATATGAACAAAGCCTCCAAGAAGTCTGGGATTATGTTAAACAACCAAACATAAGAATAATTGGTGTTCCTGAGAAAGAAGAAAAATCTGAAAGTTTGGAAAAAATATTTGGGGGAATAATCAAGGAAAACTTTCCTGGCCTTGCTAGAGACCTAGACATCCAAATACAAGAAACACAAAGAACACCTGGGAAATTCATCGCAGAAAGATCATTGCCTAGGCACATTGCCCTCAGGTTATTTAAAGTTAACATGAAGGGAAGAATCTTAAGAGCTGTAAGACAAAAGCACCAAGTAACCTATAAATGATAACCTATCAGATTAATAGCAGATTTCTCCACAGAAATCCTACAAGCTAGAAGGGACTGGGGCCTTATCTTCAGCACCTCAAACAAAACAATTATTGGTCAAGAATTTTGTATCCAGCAAAACTAAGCTTCATATATGAAGAAAAGATAGTCTTTTTCAGACAAACAAATGCTTAGAGAATTCCACAATACCAAGCCACCACTACAAGAACTGCTAAAAAGAGCTCTAAATCATGGAACAAATCCTGAAAATACATCTAACAGAACCTATTTAAAGCATAAATCTCACAGGACCTATAAAACAAAATTATAAATTTAAATTGTACATTTCAAAAACAAAAACAAAAAACCAAGGCATACAGGCAGCAAATAGCATGACGAATACAATGGTACCTCACATCTCAACACTCACTAACATTGAATGTAAATGGACTAAATGCTCTTCTTAAAAGATACAGAATTGCAGAATGGATAATAATTCACCAACCAACTATCTGCCGCATACAAGAGACTCAGCTAACACATAAGGACTCACATAAACTTAAGGTAAAGGGGTGGAAAAAGACATTTTATGCAAATGGACACCAAAAGTGAGCAGCAGTAGCTATTCTTATATCAGACAAAACAACTTTAAAGCAACAGCAGTTAAAAAAGACAAAGAGGGACATTATATAATGATGAAAGGCCTTGTCCAACAGGAAAATGTCACAATCCTGAACATACATGTACCTTACACTGGAGCTCCCAAATTTATAAAACAATTAATAATAGACCTGAGAAATGAGATAGACAGCAACACAACAATAGTGGGGGATTCAATACCCACTGACAGCACTAGACAGGTCATGAAGACAGAAAATTAACAAAGAAACAATGGATTTAAACTATACCTTGGAACAAATGGACTTAACAGATATACACAGAACATTCTATCCAACAACCACGGAATATACATTCTATTCAATATGGCATGGAACTTTCTCCAAGACAGATCATATGATAGTCCACAAAATGAGTGTCAATAAATTTAAGAAAATTGAAATTATATCAAGCATTCTCTCAGACTAAAGTGGAAATCATCTCCAAAAGGAACCCTCAAAATCATGCAAATACATGGAAATTAAATAACCTGCTCCTGAATGATCATTGGGTCAAAAATGAAATCAAGATGGAAATCTAAAAATTCTTCAAACTGAACAACAATAGTGACACAACCTATCAAAACCTCTGGGATACAGCAAGGGCAGTGCTAACAGGAAAGCTCGTAGCCCTAAATGCCTACATCAAAAAGTCTGCAAGAGCACAAACAGACGATCTAAGGTCACACCTCAAGGAACTAGAGAAACAAGAACAAACCAAACCCAAACCCAGCAGAAGAAAGGAAATACCCAAGTTCAGAGCAGAAATAAATGAATCTGAAACAAACAAAAAGAAAACAATGCAAAATATAAATGAAACAAAAAGCTGGTTCTTTGAAAAGATAAATAAAATTGATAGACCACTAGCAAGATTAACTAAGAAAAGAAGAGATTGCTCCATAAGAAAGCTCAATAAGAAATGAAACGGGAGACATTACAACTGATGCCACAGAAATACAAAAAATCATTCAAGGCTACTATGATCACCTTTATGCACATAAACTAGAAAACCTAGAACAGATGTATAAATTTCTGGAAAGATGCAACACTTCTAGCTTAAATCAGGAAGAATTAGATACCCTATATAACAAGCAGCAAGATTGAAATGGCAATTAAAAAAATACCAACATAAAAAAGTCCAGGACCAGACAATTCACAGCAGAATTTTACCAGATGTTCAAAGAGGAATTGGTACCAATACTACTGACACTATTCCACAAGATAGAGAAAGAAGGAACCCTCCCTAAATCATTCAATGAAGCCAGTATCACCCTAATACCAAAACCAGGAAAGGACATAACCAGAACAAGAAAACTACACACCAATATCCCTGAAGAACATAGATGCAAAAATTCTCAACAAAATAGTAGCTAATCAAATCCAACAGCATATCATAAAGATAATCCACCATGATCAAGTGGGTTTCATACCGGGGATGCAGGGAAGGTTTAACATATGCAAGTCAATAAATGTGATACACCACACAAACAGATTCAAAACCAAAAATTGCATGATCATCTCAATAGATAGAGAAAAAGTATTTGACAAAATCTAGCATCGCTTTATGATTAAAACTCTCAGCAAAATCGGCATACCAGGGACATAACTCAATGTAATAAAAGCCATCTATGACAAACCCACAGCCAACATAATACTGAGTGGGGAAAAGTTGAAAGCATTTTCTCTGAGAACTGGAACATGACAAGGATGCCCACTCTCACCAGTCCTCTTCAACATAGTACTGGAAGTCCTAGTCAGAGAAATCAGACAAGAGAAACAAATAAGAACATCCAAATGAGTAAAAAGGAAGTCAAACTGTCTCTGTTTGCTGATGATATGATTGTCTACCTAGAAAACCCTAACAATTCCTCCAGAAAGCACCTAGAATTGATAAAAGAATTCAGCAAAATTTCCAGGTACAAAATTAATGTACACAAATTAGCAGCTCTTCTGTACACCAGTAACAACCAAGCTGAGAATCAAATCAATAACTCAACCCCTTTTACAATAGCTGCAAAAAAATAAGATACTTAGGAATATACATAACCAAGGAGGTGAAAGACCTCTACAAGGAAACCTACAAAACACTGCTGAAAGAAATAATAGATGATACAAACAAATGGAAACACATCCCACGTTCATGGATAGGTAGAATTAATATTGTGAAAATGGCCACACTGCCAAAAGCCATCTACAAATTCAATGCAATTCCTTTCAAAATACCACCATTATTCTTCACAGAATTAGAAAAAGCAATTCTAAAATTCATACGGAACCAAAAAAGAGCCCACATAGCCAAAGCAAGACTAAGCCAAAAGAACAACTCTGGAGGCATCACGTTACCTGATTTCAAACTATAGTATAAGGCCATAGTCACCAAAATAGCATGATAATGGTATAAAAATAGGCACATAGACCAATGGAACAGAATAGAGAACCCAGAAATAAACCCAAATACTTACAGACAACTGATCTTTGACAAAGCAAACAAAAACAAAAAGTGGGGAAATGACACCCTTTTCAACAAATGGTGCTGGGATAATTGGTTAGCCACATATAGGGGAATGAAACTGGATCCTCATCTCTCACCTTATATAAAAATCAACTCAAGATGGATTAAGGACTTAAATCTAAGACCTGAAACTATAAAAATTCTAGAAGATAACATTGGAAAAACCCTTCTGGACCTTTGCTTAGGCAAGGATTTCATGACCAAGAACCCAAAAGCAAATGCAATAAAAACAAAGATAAATAGCTGGGACTTAATTAAACTAAAGAGCATGGCAAAAGGACAGTCAGCAGAGTAAACAGACAGCACACAGAGTGGGAGAAAATCTTCACAATCTATATATCTGACAAAGGCCTAATATCCAGAATCTACAACGAACTCAGATCACCAAGAAAACACAAACAATCCCATCAAAAAGTGGGCGAAGAACATGAATAGACAATTCCCAAAAGAAGATATACAAATGGCCAACAAACATAAAAAAATGATCAACATCACTAATGATCAGGGAAAGGCAAATCAAAACAACAATGTGATACCACCTTACTTTTGCAAGAATGGCCATAATCAAAAAATCAAAAAATCAAAAAATAGTAGATGTTGGTGTGGATGCAGTGAACAGGAAACACTTCTACACTGCTGGTGGGAATGTAAACTAGTACAGCCACTATGTAAAACAGTGTGGAGATTCCTTAAAGAGCTAAAAGTAGAACTACCATTTGATTCAGCAATCCCATTACTGGGTATCTACCCAGAGGAAAAGAAGTCATTATATGAAAAAGATACTTGCACACACATGTTTATAGCACCATAATTTGCAATTGCAAAACTGTGGAACCAACCCAAATGCCCATCAATCAATCAATCAATCAATCAAAAAGTGGATAAAGAAACTGTTTTTTATATATATGTATATTTATATATTTTTTATATATTTATATATATGATGGAATTTTTATATATATATAATGGAATACTACTCAGCCATTAAAAGGAAGGAATTAATGGCATTCACAACAACTTGGATGAGGTTGGTGACTATTATTCTAAGTGAAGTAACTCAGGAACGGAAAACCAAACATTGTATGTTCTCACTCATATGTGGGAGCTAAGCTATGAGGATGCAAAGGCATAAGAATGACATAATGGACTTTGGGGACTCAGGGGGAAATGGTGGGAAGGGAGTGAGGGATAAAAGACTACAAATAGGGTGCAGTGTATACTGCTTGGGTGATGAGTGCACCAAAAACTCACAAACCACCACTAAAGAACTTACTCATGTAACCAAGCACCACCTGTTCCCCAGTAACTACGGAAATAAAAAGAAATTTTTTTTAAAGAATACGATGTTCAACAACATAGGTTACTTTAGAAAATTGCAAATTAAAACAATGAGATACTACTATATACCTATTAGAATGGCCAAAACACCAAGTGCTGTTGATGATGTGAAGCAACAGGAAATCTTATTGCTGGTGGGGATGCAAAATTTTCCAGTAGTTTGGAAGACAGTTTTACAGTTTTTACAAAACTAATTATACTGTCACCATAAAAATCCAGCAATCATGCTCCTTACTATTTATCCAAAAGAGTTGAAATGGTATGCCTACACAAATACCTGCACATGAATTTTTATAGCAACTGTAGATCCATTTTCATAGTTGCCAAAATATGAAATCAACCAAGATGTCCTTCAGTAGGTGAATGGATAAATCAACTGGAAGAATCACCCATTCAGACAAGGGAATATTATTTAGCACTAAAAAGAAATAAGCCGTGAAAAGACGTGGAGGAAACCTGGATGTATATTACTAAGTGAAAGAAGCCAATTTGAAAATACTGCATACATACAGCATGATTTCAACTATATGACATTCCAGAAAAGGCAAAACTATGGAGACAGTAAAAAGATAAGTGGTTGTAATGGGATGAGGCAGACAGGGATGAATAGGCAAGCACAGAGGATTTTTAGGAAAACAAAACTTTTCTGTGCGATAGTACAATGGTGAATTCATTTGTCAAAAACCCATAGAATGTACAACACCAAGAGTGAACCCTAATGTCAGCTATGGACTTTGAGTGATAATGATATATCAGTGTGGGTTCATTTATTTTTTTGGGGTGGTGGTGGGACAGGGTCTCACTCTGTTGCCCAGACTGGAGTGCAGCGGTGCGATCTCGGCTCCCTGCAACCTCCACCTCCCAGGTTCAAGCGATTCGCCTGTCTCAGCCTCCCGAGTAAATAGGATTACAGTTGCCCGCCACCTCACCCAGCTAATTTTTGTATTTTTAGTAGAGACGAGGTTTCACCATGTTGGTCAGGCTGGTCTTGAACTCCTGACCTCAAGTGGTCCACCTGCCTCAGCGTCCCAAAGTGCTAGGATTACAAGCATGAGCCACCACGCCCAGCCGGGTTCATTGACTTTAACAAATGTGCCACTGTCGTGTGGGATGTCAATATTGCGGGAGGTTTTGCATATGTGGGGGCAGGGGAGATATAAGAATGCTCTGTACTTTCTGATTAATTTTCCTGTGAACTTAAAATTGCTTTAAAAAGCAAAATCTACTAAAAATCATATGGTAAGAACTAAAAACATTTTTAATTGCAAAAATGCTGAGAGAATTTATTACCAGTGGACCAGCCATTCACAAAATGCTAAAGGGAGTTCTTTATGGAGAAATGAAAGAATATTAGACACAAATGTGAAGTCATGTAAAGAAATAAAAATCTATGGTAAAGGTAAATACATAAATAATTACAAAGCTAGTAGTATTGTAACTTTGGTTTGTTACTCTTTTGTTTGTTTTCTACATGAATTAGAGACTAATGCATAAAAACAGTTGTTTATGGTTTTGGACATAAAATGCATAAAGATATAATTTCTGACACTAATAACTGAAAAAGGGTGAAGATGGACCTACCTATAAAGTGGCAGAATTTGTGTATGTTATTAAAGTTAAGTTGGTACAAACTCAAACTGGAATGTTACACTTTTAGGATGTTCAATGTAATCTTCATGGCAACTGAAAAGAAAACAGTGATACCCTAAGGAAAGCAAATCACCCCCTTGTAAAGATGTCTGTACTCCCATATTCACTGCAGCATTATTCACAATAGCCAAGATATGGAAATAACCAAATTTGTCTATCAATGAATATATGAATTAAAAAATTGTTTTATACACATACAGACACACACAAATGTATACACATATAACGGAATATTATTCAGCCTTGAAAAAGGAGATCTTGACATTTGGGACATTTAGTTCATTGGAAGAACCTAGAGGACATTATGCTAAGTGAAGTAAGCCAGCCACAGAAAGGCAAATACTGCATGATCTCATTTATATGTGGCATATTTTTAAAAATTGAATACATAGAACAGAGTGTAGAATGGTGGCTACCGGGGTGCAGAAAATAGGAAGATGTAGTTTAAAGTGTACGAGGTTGTATGTAGTTATATAGAATAAGTCTAGGTATCTAATGTATAACATGAGACCTATCATTAATAATATTGCTCTGTATGCTGGAAATTTACTAAAGGAGTAAATTTTAGCTAATCTTACCACACACAAAAAAAGAAAGATAACTGTGTGAGATGGTGGCTGTGTTAATTTTCCAGACTGTAGTAATCAATTAACTGTGTTAATTTTCTAGACTGTGGTAATCAATTAACTATGTTAAAGCATCTTGTTGTACACCTTAAATATATGCAATTAAAAATAGCTATAGATTATACACAAAAGGAAAGAAGAAGGAAATTAAAACATTTTACTACAAAAGACCAACTAAACACACAAGAAGACAGTAATTCAGAAAATAAAGGACAAAATGCTATAAGGTATATGGAAACACCAGTAAAATAACAATTATATTCCTCCCTACCAATAATTTATTTAAATGTCAATGAATTAAATTTACCAATCAATAGACAGAAACTGGAAGAATAGATTTTAAAAATTTCTCTATATGCTGTCTACAAGAGACTCATTGTAGATCCAAAGACACAAATAGGTTGAAAAGGAAGGAATGGAAAAATATATTCCATTCAAATAGTAACCAAAAGATAGCAGGGTAGCTATACTAATATCAGACAAAACAGACTTTAAATCAAAAACTTGGGGAACCAATGGCAAGACGGCTGACTAGAAGCAGCTACTGTGCGTCACTCTTACAGAAAGGAGACAGAGTGACCAGTAAACACCAGCTCTTCAACTGGATAGTTCTGGAGGACCCATTGAGATTCATTAAAGAAGCAACATGACTCACAGAGAGTGGAGAGGAGCAAGACAGGACACCCACCCACCTGGGATTGGCATAGAGTCAACGGTGTCTTCCCACCTCCTTTGGTAAGTGAGAGTCCCCGGGGACCTACACTTCTACCATGGACTGTTGCAATTCTGGGCACAGGAGATCTCCCCTGACCTCTTCTCCCTGGGACCTCCAGACTGACACTCTGCATGCAGTCTGGGCAGAGTCACTACTCAGGCCCATGGGGAGCCACAAGGGCCTTGGACTCCTGAGGGCCCTGGTGCCAGCTGCCACAGCTCCACCAACAAAGGAGGTGAGGATCTCTCATGTGGCCCTAGGATAGGAGCCATGTCCACGATGCTGAGGAGCAGACGAACTGTAGACCTCACCTCCGCTACACATGGACAGGCAAAGCCTACTTCCCTGGGACCCCAGTGTAGCCACCTCACCCCTGTCTGAGCATTTGGGCTAGTAGCAGCTCTGCATTTCTTTGGGACAGAGTTCCCAGAGGTAATCGACAGGCCCACCACTTTTCTGCTGCCAGAGCCCCTGCCCCTACTGTCCTCAGGCTAGGGAGGGAGCAAAGAGCACAAGAACTATTGCAGGCCTCCAGCACACTACAGCTGCTTTATGGAAAAGCAGCCAGACTGTTTTCCACATGGATCCCTTTGCCTGCCACTCCTCACTGGGCAGGGCCTCCCCACATGGGGCCTCCAGCACAACCGTTCTGCCCCTGCCTGATCACTTCATTTGGTGGTGGCTCTGCATTTCTCTGGGGAGGACATCCTAGAGACAACCCACAGGCTCTCTGTAATTCCACTGCTGTGGTCCGGCCCTTCCTGTCCTTGGGCCGGGTAAAGAATAAAGACCCAGATGACTTTGTTGGCACCTCCAGCAAGCCACAATTGCCATATGGAGAGGAGCCTGATCTCACTTCCCTGTGAGCCCCTGGCTGCCTGCACTTGACAGGCAGGATCCCCAGCTTGGGCCCACAGTGCAGTCACTCCACCTCTAAAGGTTTCAATCGGCAGTGGTTTTGTGTCTCTCTGGTGGAGTTCCCAGAGGTAACTGACAGCCCCTCTGCCATTGCCATGGCAGCACTTCTGCCCTTGCTGCCCTGGGGCTGGGGGAAAAACAAAGAGCCCAATCACTTTGCTGGCACCTCCAGCACACAACAGGCGCCATAGGAGAGGAGCCCAGTCTCTCCTGTGAGCCCCTGGCCCCCTGCTCTTCACCAGGCAAGGGCCTCTAGCATGGGTCCAAAGTGCAGCTGCCTTGCCCCTGCTTGAACATTCCCATTGGCAGTGGCTCTGTTTCTCTGAGTGGAGCTCCCAGAAGCGACAGACAGCCCCTCTGCCACTGCCACTGCAGTGGTATCGCCCTTGCTGCCCTTGGGCTAGGGAATGAATAAAGACCCTGGTTGCTTTGCTGGCACCTCCAGCATGACACAGCCACCATACAGAGAGGAAATCAGTCTCTCTTCTCTATGAGCCCTTGACCCCCTGCTGTTCACCAGGCAGGGCCTCCAGCTCAGGCTCACAGTACAGCCACCCCCACTTCCCCAGCTGAACATTCCCATTGGCAGTGGCTTTATGTTTCTCTGGGGTGAAGTTCAAAGAGGCATCTGAAATCCCCTCTGCCTCACCTCTGCCACTGCAGTAGTACCTGCCTTTGCTGCCACCAGGCTGGGGAAGGAACAAAGAGCCTGGGTGCTTTGCTCACACTCCAGCATGCTGCAGGCACTTTTGGAGAAGAGGCCAGACTGGCTTCCCCATGAGTCCCTCCACCTCACCTGCTCTTTAAGAGGCAAGACTCCCTGGCTTGGGCCCACAGTGCAGCTGCCCCACTCTTGGTGATCCTTCCGATTGGTAGTTGCTCTGTGTTTCTCTGGGATGGAGCCCCAAGAGAAAGGGAAAGACCCTCTGCCATTGCCACTGCTAAAGTCCCCACACCTGCTTCTGCCAAGCTGAGGAAAAAAGCAGAAAGCCTGAGCTCACCCCAAGGCTGCAGTGCACAGCCCACGAGTGCCAAGCCTAAATCTGGGAGAGGAACATACACTCTCAGAGCATTGAGAGGGAGCACAGCTGCAATTGCAAGGAAATACAGAGGAGCCTGTCTACCAGCCATTACACTTCAGCTCCATCTACTGGATTGCAGCCCAAACATCAACACCAAAAATACTTCGCTAATATATGCTCCTATGAAACCAAGGACAACAATTCAGCCACAAATAATGTCCCTTCACAACACCTCAGCCCTCTGAAAACATCCAGAAATGAAGCTAACTGACTGTACTCAAATTACATTAACAGTTAAAAAACCATCAGCCCCTTTGGGAGGCCGAGGTGGATTACCTGAGTCAGGAGGTCAGGAGTTCAAGACCAGCCTGACCAACATGGTGAAACAGCGTCTCTACTAAAAATACAAAAAAAGATTAGCGGGGCATGGTGGCAGGTGCCTGTAATCCCAGTTACTCAGGAGCCTGAGGCAGGAGAATTGCTTGAACCCAGGAGGCGGAGGTTGCAGTGAGCCGAGATTGTGCCATTGCACTCCAGCCTGGGCAACCAGAGTGAAACTCTGTCTCAAAAATAAAATAATAAAATAAAGTAAAATAAAATTAAAAAGAACTATCAGCCCACACAGATGAGAATGAAGCAGTACAAGCACTCTGGCAGCTCTAAAAGCAAGAATGTCTCCTTACTTCCAAACAACTGGCTCCCCAGCAATGGTTCTTAACCAGAATGAAATGGCTGAAATGACAGAAATAGAATTCAGAATCTGGATGGCAACAAAGATCATAGAGATTCAGGAGAAAGTTGAAACCCATTCCAAGGGATCTAAAAAATCCAGATTCAACAATTCAAGAAATGAAAGATAAAAGAGCCATTTTAAGAAAGAACCAAACCAAGAGATAGAGCTGAAAAACTCACTGTAAGAATTTCATAGCTCGATTGGAAGTATTAACAGCGGAATAGACCAAGCTGAGGAAAGAATCTCAGAGCTTTTAGAAAGGTCCTTCAAATTAACTCAGACAAAAATTTACAAGAATTTTAAAAACTGAACAAAAGCTCTGAGAAATGAGATTATGTAAAGAGGCCAAATCAACAACTCATTGGTGTCCCTGAAAGACAGGGAGAGAGAGCAAGCAATTTGGAAAGCATATTTGAGGATACTATCCATGAAAATTTCCCCAGCCTCACTAGAGATGACAACATTTAAATTCAGGAAATGCAGAGAACCCCTGCAAGATACTGTACAAGATGACTATCCCCAAGACATGTGATTATCAGATTCTCCAAGATCAACATGAAATAAAAAAGATTAAAGGCAGCTAAAGAAAAGGGGCAGGTCACCTACATAGGGATCTCATCAGGCTAACAGCAGGCAATTAAGTAGAAACCCTAAAAGCCAGAAATATTGTGGGCCTATATTTAGCATTCTTGAAGAAAAATTCTAACCAAGAATTTCATATTTAGCCAAACTAATCTTAAGTTTCATCAGAGAAGGAAAAATAAAATACTTTTCAGAAAGGCAAATGCTAAGGGAATTTATTACCAACAGATCTTCCTTACAAGAGGTCCTTAAGGGAGTGCCAAACATGAAAACAAAAGACCATTATTGGCCATCACAAAAACACACTTAAGTACATAGGACCATTGACACTATAAAGCAAACCCACAATCAAGTCTACATAACAACCAGTTATCAATACAATGATGACAAGATCAACTCTGCACATATCAATATTAACCTTGAACATAAACTGGCTAAACATCTCACTTAAAAGGCACAGAGTGGCAAGTTGGATAAAGAAGCAAGACCCAACTCTGTGTTGTATTCAAGAGACCCATCTAACATACAAGGACACCCACAGGCTCAAAGTAAAGGGATGGAGAAAGATCTGTCAAGAAAATGGAAAACAAAAAAAGAGCAGGGGTTGCTAATCTTATTTCAGACAAAACAGACTTTAAACCAACAATGATCAAAAAGGAAAAAGAAGGGTATCGCATAATGATAAATGGTTCAATTCAACAGGAAGACTTATCTATCTTAAATATATATGCACCCAGTGCTGGAGTATTCAGACTCATAAAACAAGTTCTTAAAAACAAATGAAGAGACATATAACCACATAATGGTTATATATGAGTTTAACACACCACTGACAATATTGGACAGATCAAGGGAAAATACTAACAAAGATATTCAGGACTTAAACTTGACACTTGACCAAATGGACAGAACACTCCACCCAACAAAAAATAGGACATTCATTCTTCTCATCTATCCATTGCACATACTCTAAAATTGACCAGACATTCAGCCACAAAACAATTCTCAACATACTAAAAAAAAATAAACAAAATCAAATGAACAACACTCTCAGACCAGAGTACAATAAAAATAGAAATCAATACAGAGAATATCTCTCTAAACCATACAATTAAATGGGCATCAAATAATCTGATCCTGAATGACTTTCAGGTAAATAATGAAATTAAGGCAGAAATCAAGAAATTTTTTGAAACAAATGAAAACAAAGATATAACATACCAGAATCTCTTGGACACATCCAAAGCAGTGTTAAGAAGAAAGTTTATTGCACTCAACAGCCACATCAAAAAGTTGGAAAGATCTCAAATTAATAACCTAATATTACAACTAGAGGAACTAGAAAAACAAGAGCAAACCAAGCCTAAAGCTAGCAAAAGAAAACAAATAACTAAAATCAGAGCTGAACTGAATGAAATGGAGATGAGGAAAACCATACAAAAGATGAACAAAACCAAAAGTTGATTCTTTGAAAGAAGAAATAAGATTGATAGACCCCTAGCTAGTTTAATAAAGAAAAAAAGAGAAGTTCTAAATAAACACAATCAGAAATGACAAAGGGGAAATTACCAACAACCCCACAGAAATGCAAAAATCCCTCAGAGACTATTATGAACACCTCTACGCACACAAACTAAAAAACCTAGAAAAAAAGTTGATAAATTCCTGGAAACATACAACCTCCCAAAATTGAATCAGGAAGAAATTGGCACCCTGAACAGACCAATAACAAGTTCCAAGATTGAATCAGTGATAAAAAAATCTACCAACCAGAAAAAGCCCTCGTCCAGAAGGATTTACATCCAAATTCTACCAGTCATATAAAGAAGAGCTGGTACCAATCCTACTGAAATTATTTCAAAAAAATAAGAAAGAGGGACTCTTCCCTAACTCATTCTAATATCAAAACCTGGCAGAGACACAATGAAAAAAGAAAACCTCAGGCCAATACCTTTGATGAAAATAGATGCAAAAATCCTCAACACAATGCTAGCATCATTCTAGTATCAAAACCTGGCAGAGACACAATGAAAAAAGAAAACCTCAGACCAATACCTTTGATGAACATAGATGCAAAAATCCTCAACACAATACTAGCAAATCAAATTCAGCAACACATTAAATAGCTAATCCACCGTGATCAAATAGGCTTTATTTCTGGGGTGCAAGGTTGATTCAACATAGGCAAATCAATAAATATGATTCATCATGTAAATAGAACTGAAAGCAAAAACCACATGATCATCTCAATAGACACAGAAAAGTATTTCAATAAAATTCAACATCACTTTATGTAAAAAACCCTCAACAAACTAGTCATCGAATGTACATATCTCAAAATAATAAGAGCCATCTGTGACAAACTGACAGCCGGCATCATACTGATGGGCAAAAGCTGGAATCATTCCCCTTAAAGACAGGTACAAAAAAAGATGCTTTCTTTCACCACTCTTATACAACATAGCACTGGAAGTCCTAGCCAGAGGAATCAGGCAAGAAAAGTAAATTAAAGGTATCAAATAGGAAGTCAAACTATCTCCTTCTTCACAGATGACGTGATTCTACACTTAGAAAACCCCTTAGTATCTGCCCAAATGCTCCTAGATCTGTTAAACAACTTCAGCAGAGTTTCAGGATACAAAATCAATGTACAACGATCACTGTGATTACTATCCATCAGTAACATTCAAGCTGAGAGTCAAATCAGGAATGCAATCCCATTCACGATAGCCACAAAAATAATAAAATTCCTAGGAATACAGCTAACCAGAGAGGTGAAAGATCTCTACAATAATAAATTCAAACACTGCTCAAAGAAATCAGAAATGACACAAACAAATGGAAAAGGCATTCCATGCTCATGGATAGGAAGAATCAATGTTATTAAAATGGCCCTACTACCTAAAGCGATTTATAGATTCAACGCTATTCCTGTCAATCTAATTATGTGACATTTTACACATAATTAGAAAAAATCATTTTATAGTTTATGTGGAATCAAAAAGAACTGGAATAGCCAAGGCAATTCCAAGACAAAAGAACACAGCTAGAGGCATCACACTATCTAATTTTGCTACAAGGCTACAGTAACTAAAGCAGCATGGTACTGGTACAAAAGCAGACACATAGACTTATGGAGCAGAATAGAGAGCCCAGAAATAAAGCCACACGCCTACAACTATCTGATCTTCACCAAACCCAAAAATAACAAGCAATGGGGAAAGGACTTCCTATTTAATAAATGGGTTAACTGGCTAGCCATATGCAGAAGATTGAACCTGGATGCCTTCCTTACACCATATACATAAATCAACTCAAGATAAATTAAATATTTAAATGTAAACCCTAAAACTATAAAACCTTAGAAGAAAACCTAGGAAATACCATTCTGGACATAGCCCTGGCAAAGACATTGTGACAAAGATTCCAGAAGCAATTGCAACAAAAAGAAAAATTGACAAATGGGACCTAGTTAAACTAGGGAGCTTCTGCACAGCAAAAGAAACTATCAATTGAGTAAACAGAGCCTACAGTATGGAAGAAAATATTTGCAAACTATGCATCTGACAAATGTATAATATCCAGAATCTATAAGGAACTTAAATCAACAAACAACCACATCAAAAAATGGGCAAAGGATTTCAACAGACACTTCTCAAAAAAAGACATACATGCAGCTAATAAGCATATAAAAATGCTCATTATCACTAATCATTAGGGAAATGCAAATCAAAACCATAATGAAATACCATCTCACATCAGTCAGAAGGCTACTGTTAAAAAGTCAAAAAGTAACAAATGCTGGCTAGGTTTCAGACAAAAGGTAACACTTACACTCTGTTGGTGCAAATGCACATTAGTTCAGCCACTGGGGAAATCGGTTAGGAAATTATTCAAAGAGCGAAAAACAGAATTGCCATTTGAGACAGCAATCCCATTGTTGGGTATGTATCCAAAGAAGTATAAATTTTTCTACCATAAAGACACATGCACATGTAAGTTTATCACAGCACTATTCACAATAGCAAAGACATGGACTCAACCTAGATGTCCATCAATGATGGATTGGATAAAGGAAATGTACATATACACCACGGAATACTATGCAGTCATAGAAAAGAATGAAACTGTGTCTTTTGCAGCCACATAGGTGGAGCTGGAGGTCATTATTCTAAGCAAATTAATGAAAAAACAGAAAACCAAATACCACATGTTTTCATTTACAAGTGGAAGCTAAACATTGAGCATACATGAACAGAAGGAAGGGGATAATAGACACTAGGCGCTACCTGAGGGTGGAGGGTGGGAGAGGGGTAATATTAAAAAAAAAATACCAGTTAGGTACTATGCCAATTACCTGGTGACAAAATTATCTGTACACCAAACCCCCGCGACCACAATTTACCCATGTAAGAAACCTGCATATGCACCCCTTCAACCTAAAATAAAAGTTGGAAATACATAAATCAAAAAATTGTTATAAGAGATAAATACATTATATATTAATAAAATATTCAATACAGCAAGAAGATATAACAATTGTGAACTTGTACACACATAATAATAGACCATCTTGTATGAAGTAAAAATTCACATAATTGAATGGAAACATAGATTCTTTACAATAACGGCTGGGGACTTAAATACTCCACTCTCAATAATGGATAGAATAACCAGACAAAAAAAAATAAGCAAGGAGATAGGCAATCTGAACAGCACAATAAACTAACTAGATCTAACAGACATACATAGAACACTCTTCCCAAAGACCAGAGAATACATATTCTTGTCAACTGTGCATGGGACATTCTTGAGGATAGACCATATATTAGATCACAAACAAAACTGGATAGATTTTAAAAGACAGACATCATACAAAGTATCTTCTCCATCCACAATAGGATGAAGTTAGAAATCAGTAACAGAAAGAAGACTGAAACATTCACAAATTTGTGGAAATTAACACACTCTTACACAACCAAAAGGTCAAAGAAGAAACGACAAAAGAAATTAGAAAGTTTTAAGAGATGAATGAAAATGAAAACAGCATACCAAAACTTTGGGGACACAGCAAAATAAGTGCTAATGGAAGAACTTATACCTAAAAATACTTGAATTTAAAAAAAAAAAAGACCTCAAATCAACTACCAAACTTTAAAACTTATGGAACAAGAGTAAGTTAATCAAACAAATTCTGAAGCTAGCAGAAGGAAGGAAATAAGTAAAGGTTAGAGTGGAGATAAATTAAAGAGAGTAGAAAAACAATACAAGGATAAACAAAACAAACATTGGTTCTTTGAAAAACTTTAGCTAGGTTGACTATGACAAAGATATATAAGACTCAATAGAATGAGAAATGAAAGCAAAGTCATTTCTTCTGATTCTATAGAGTTAAAAAGGATTATAAGAAAGTAATATGAATAATATTACAGCAACAAACTGTATATCCTAGTTGACATGGCCCAATTCCTGGAAATACAAAGCCTACCAAGACTAAATAACAAAGACATAGATCGTCTGAATAGAACTGTATGTAGTAAGGAAATTGAATCAACCCAGCAAAGAAAAGCCCTGGACCTGATGGCTTTACTTGTAAATTCTACCAAATATTTTTAAAAGAACTAACACTAATCCTTTTGAAACTCTTACCAAAAAAAAGTTGAAGAGGAGGGAACAATTTCTAACTCATTCTGTAAGGTCAGTAATCCCCTGATAGCCAAGCCAGGAAAAGACGCTGTAAGAAAAGTACAGACCAATATATTTTTTAAGCATGGATTCAAAAATCCTCAAATATCAGTACACCAACTTCAGTAACATATTAAAATTATTGTACACCATACCAAGTGGGATTTTTATTATGGCAATGCAAGCATGGCTCAACATACAAAAATATATCGATGTAATATACTGCATTAACAAAATGAATGGAAAAAAAAAGATCATCTCAATTGATGCAGAAAAAGGATTTGACAAAATTAAACACTTTATGATTAAATAAAACACTCAACAAAGTAGAAATAGAAGGAAACTACCTTCGCATAATAAAAACCATAATGGAAAAATTCACATCTATTATCACATTCAACTATGAAAGACTGAAAGCTTTTCCTCCAAGGTCAAGAAGACAACAATGTACACTTTTTCCACTTCTAGTCAACAGAGCATTGGAAGTACTAGTAGGAAAAAACAGGCTAAAAAGGGAAATAAAAGGCATTTAAATTTGAAAGGAAGAAGTGTAATTATCTCTGTTTGCAGATATGTAATCTTATATGTAGAAAACACTAAAGATTCCACAAGAGAAAACTGTTAGAATTAGTAACCAAATTCAGGAAGGTAGTAGGATATAAAATGAACATAAAAATCAATTGCATTTCTATACACCTACAATAAACAATCCTAAAAGAAAATTAAGGAAACAATTCCATTTACAATAGCATCAAAAACAACATAAAACTTAGTAATTAACTTAACCAGGGCGATGAAAGACTTGTAAAATGAAAAATACAAAACTGCTGAAAGTGGCAGAGATACAAATAAATGAAATTGTTTTCTATGTTCATGGATTAGAAGACTTAATATTGCTACCACGTCAATACTACCCAAAATGACCTCCAATGCAAAGCAATCCCTATCAAAATATCAACTAAGTTTTTACAGAAATAGAAAACTACATTCTTAAATTCATATGGACTCCCAAAAGGTGTTGAATAGCCAATACAATCTTGAAAAGGAAGAATAAAGTAAGAACTTACACTTCCTTATTTCAAAACTTATTAGAAAGCTACAATATTCACAACAATATGGGAAAGGCAGCATAAATACAAACAAATAGATCGATGGAATCAAATAGACAGCCCACACATAAACCCTTGCATAGATGGTAAAATGATTTTCGCAAGGATTCCAAGATTATTCAATAGGGAAAAGACAGTCTTCAATAAATGTTGATGGCAAAAGTGTATAGCCACACTCAAAAAATAAAATTGCACCTTTACCTAACACTATATGCAAAAATTAACTCAAATTGATCAAATACTTAAACATAAGAGCTAAAACTATAATACTCTTAGAAGAAAACATGGGGGAAAGCTTCACAACATTGAATTTAGCAATGATTCAAAGGCATAGGCAACAAAACAAAAAATAAAGTGGACTTTTAAAAAATCAACTATTTTGTACATCAAAGGACACTCAAAAAAGTAAAAAGGCAACCCACAAAATCGGGAAAAATTTTGCAAGTCACATATCAGAAAAGAGATTAATGTGCAGAATAGAGATACTCAAAAATTGCAACAATAAAAAAACCATTGATTCAATAATAGACAAATAACTTGAATAGTCATTTCTCCAAAGATATGATTTCTCAGTAAGCACATGAAAAGATACTCAACATCACTAATTATTAGGAAAATGCATCGAAACCACAATGTGATACTTCATGCCAACTAGGATGTGTACTATTGGAAGGAAGAAAGGAAGGAAGGAAGGAAGGAAGGAAGGAAGGAAGGAAGGAAGGAAGGAAGGAGAAGGGAAAATAAGTGTTGGTGAGGATGTGGAGAATCCAAAACAATTGTCCACTGCTGGTGGGAATGTAAAACAATATAGCCACTGTAGAAAACGGCATAGCAATTTCTCAAAATATCAAAAATATAATTAGCATGTGATGCAGCAAATTCCACTTTGGGGTACACACCCAAAGGAATCTGAATCAGAGACACAAACAGATATTTGTACAGCCATGTACATAGCAGTGTTATTCCCAATAGCCAAAAGGTGGAAGCAATTCAAATGTTCATCAATGGATGAATGGCTAAACAAATGTATACTTACAATGGACTATTAATCAATTTAAAAAGTAAGGAAATTCTGACATATGGTAGAACATTATGAAGCTTAAAGACATTGTGCTAAGTAAAATAAACCTGTCACATGAGGCCATATATTGTATGATTCTGGTCTATATGAGGTACTTAGAGTACTTGAATTCATAGAGACAGAAAGTAAAATGGTGGTTGCCGCAGGCTGAAAGAAGAGCAGAATAGGGAGCTATTATTTTATGGGTCCATAACCAGATTTTTGTAAGATGACAAAAGTTCTGGATACGGACAGTAGTAATGATTGTCCAACAATGTAAAAATACCTAATGCCACTAAACTTTAACCTAAAAGTGGTTAAAACAATCACTTTTATGTTATGTATATTTTACTACATTTTAAAATAATAAATGGGAAAAATAGCACATTTCCACTGTAGCAATAATCAGCAGTGAACAAATTAAGATAAAATTTGCAGTTCTACCAGAAATTATAAAGCATCTAAGAGTTACTTTGATAAAGAATTTTTAAGTCTTCTCTAGAGAAAAATTTAAAACCCTATTAGAGAACGGAAAATAAGACCTGATTAAATGGGGGAGGCACTCCATCAACCTGGATAGGAAATCATAATGTTAGAAAAATGCCCCTGGTGGAAGCTTGGCCGGATGGCTAGTCACCCCACCCTGAGCAGCTCTTCTTTCTCAACCTCACCGTGGCACTTCTTTGCAAAGCTGCCTCTGGCAAGAATATATTTTTTCGACAGCAATTCTATTCTGTATTTTAAAATACTTAATAGTCAGGGGTTAGATCTATTTCTGCAAGGAGATGTCAATTATTGCTAAACCTGCATATAGTGCATAAAACTTGTTTGAGTGAAGAAGATGGGGTGCAGCATTCTGGGAACCATTATCCTCTATAAAATTTTATAATTGCATTTTCAAGAGGCCCAAGGCCATGTTTCATACAGATACTATACGCACAAAAGCAGCACATAAAGCATATTTGTTTATTGTACAGGCTGATGGAGAAATGAGAATTTCCACCGGGGCAGACAGCCAAGTTACTTTAAAACAGACTCCCACTTTACAAGCTAGATGGGGCTAGCCACGGCAGGAGAGGGTGATCAGAAATCCTGTCATCTAACTAAAGGTGACCTCCAGCTGCGAGGACTCTCTCCTAACTCAAAACTCCCAATGGGCTTTACCTAACTGCCTTTTGGAGATGAGTATTCCTTTATGTTATATTTATTCCTGTCTAACCCTTCTTAAGAGACTTAGAATGTCTTTGACGGGAGAATTCATATTTCAGTCAGGCTTGTTCCTCATATGGGGTCTAGCACAGATGATAAAAACTCTGTATTCAGTGGGGTTCACTGAATCTATCTCTGAGGGAAAATATGCAGTTTAATAGAGTTTTTCTCTAACATATTTCTATATACCAACAAGGTTCATGGTAAAATTGACCAGTCAGCAAATCATTTGCTACTAAAGGTATTTATTTCTCAGATTCTATAAATTTAAAGCATAAAACTTAACAAAATATATGGATACCTCCATTACCCAAACTCTGTTTCAAGGAATTCTAGGTCTCAATGTTCTGGAAAGTCACAATATGCATTTACATACTAAGAAATTTGAGAAACAGTGAATTTTTTAAAGCTTATTTTTGTTTAACCCCATGTTTCTATAAATTTTGTCACTGAAATATTTTATCAAGCACCTAACCAGAATTTATATCTCATGACCCAAAGTCTAAACTTGTATATATAATTGTCCACTCAGCATTTCCATTAATATTTTTATAGGCATCTCTGTTACTGAGGGTTCATGGTGGCAAACAGAACCTTCTATAGCTACTTCGGTAGGAAGGTATTAAGTATATAATGTAGCTCATAGAATCTCTGAGAGCCGGAGTACCTGGCATGAGAGCTGCAAATTCAGGAATAAGCAACATACTAACATTTGGACTAATCTGCCATAACCATCACAGGGCAGCAGCACCTCAGGGTCCACCACTAGCCACAGGTACTGCTGCTGGGACCAAGGCCAATACTCACCCCTACCATTAATGGACACAACAGAATCACTATCTTCACATGGATCTCTTTCAGATGCAAACATCATGCAGAAGCATTTGATTGTCAACATCTACGTGATACACTTCACATACTTCTACTGCAAGCAAACCTGGGAAGAGTTGTGACTTTTAGCTTGAAAAGTCCGAACCTAAATAGATGGAAATTCCCTAAACATTATATGTCAATCAGACAGTCTTGATTATGCTGTAGTAACAACAACGGAAAATCTCAATGTCCTAAAACAAGTGGAGAGGGAGCTGATGGAAGGTGCTCTGTGCATCTGGGACATTCTGGAATGTCACCTGATAGAGGTGTCAATCTCAACATGTGATCACCAAGACAGAAAAAGGGGGCATAGTAAATTGTGAAAGGGATCTTAAAACTTCCACCTAGAAATAACATACATTACTTCTACTCGCAATTTATTTGCCAAAGCAAATCACATTAACCATGCCTAAAACTACAGAGGGCGGGAAAGTGCAACCCTATCCTGTCCCCAGAAGAAGAGGAGAACTGAAATTTTTGTGAATGAACTTCCCGATTGCCATATATAGAAAAAGTGGGTAAAATATCCTGAGAAGCCAAGAAGTTTGACAAATGTTTGCCACATCACCATAAATATAAGATTGCATCAAATCTTGATTTTTCTCCCTAAACATTTTTCTTCCCTATTTTAGTATCGCCAACCATTCTTTAAAATCTGTTTTGAATCCACTCACTTCTTTCCATTTCCATTGCTACTACTTTTGTCCAAGCCCCCATCATCTCAGGTGCCACTGCTCTGATCACGTGCCTGTCTACATGAACTCTGTTAATGACTTACTACTAACTCTAAGGGTATTTAGAAAAGAAAACAAAACAACTTTACCTTCATTTGTAAGACTCATCTTTATCTATCTCCTGCCTAGTTCACCAGTAAACTGAATACCTTTTCGACCCTCAAAATTATTGTCCTCTAGCCTGATATGGTGTCATGGACCCATAGTCCCAGCTACCCAGGAGGCTGAGGCTGCAATGAGCTATGATAGCACTACTGCCCTCCAGCCTGGACAACAGTCTTAAGAAAACTATTTTTCTCTCCCTCAAGCCCTTGTTTATATTCTCTCGTTTACTTACAACAAACGGGATCATTGTTTTGTTGTTGTTGTTGTTTTTAGGCTATCTCTCACCTATCTTATTTTCCCCTACAAGGGTGGAATTCCACGGGGGCACGAATTTGGTCCTGTTCATCCCTGGATTCTAGCGCTTGGAATAGTGCCTGGCATGCAGGCGTGTACATCCTTAGAGATCAGACAAAAAGGCCACACCTTAGTAAAGCCATCACAAAGCTTCCAGCCTTCCACCCAAAATATAATTTTGTCTTTTTCTGTTCTCCTGTAGTGCTGTGTGCATCCTTCTACAAAAGAAATGCTTGCATTATTATATTTACTTTCTACGGCTGAAGGAGGAGCTTTTTTAGGCTAAGTACAATGGTTTACTTGATCAATGAGATATAATCTCTCAAAGTCCCTGGCACACTACCTTCATGCTCTTTATTTCCTTTCTTCTTTCCATAGTTTCTTCCTTCCTGTAGTCATTAGCAGCACAGTGGATTATTAGTTAAATATCATCAATCAATTAGAAAGTGATGGATATTATACATCAAATAAACAATAACTATTAACTTCCTATAAATATATACCTGTGCACACCACAGATAAAATGCTCTATATATCTATATAATACATTTTCAATAAAAGTTTATTATTAAGTTTAAATTTCCCATGTGTAGCACATGTGAGCACAGGCAGACACTTTTGTATAAATAGATACATGTTACATTTCTAAACTATAAATAGAATGTTCAGGGAGGGTGTATATTATTTCTGTATATGTATAACTATATATAGACATGCATATAATACTGCATTTATATAGCAGCTTGTAAAACTTTAGGATAGAACGAGTTGCCAAATAAAAATAGAAGATTTTAAAAATAGAAATAGCATCTTTCCACTGAGGGAAAGGACTCACAAGTAGTGATTTTACAAACACATTTTGAAAAGCTGAGGGTTTTCTTGCGCAGTCAAAGAACTCCTGGGCAGTTGATTTGAGGTTGCACTTCTCAGAGTATAGCTCAAGGGCCAGCTACATCAGAGTCCTCCTGTGTGTGTCAAACATTCAGTTTCCAGGACATCACCCCAAACCCACCACTTCAGAATATCTGGGGACTGGGCCCATGAATCAGTATGCTTAACAAGCTTGACAGATGATTCTGTTGGATGCTGTGATCAGAAAATCATTGATCTAAGGCACCCTGCCTTGGGCAAACAGGCTTGTGTTGAAAGATGGGAGGCACGATGGGGAACAGCTGTGAGTGGGAAGTTAGAGATTCTGCGTGGGGAAGCACAGAAGGCTGGCTACATGGTGGGTGCTGGCATGCTTGGAGTGCTGGATTCAACAGGGTGTGGGTGATTAAAGAAGAAGGATTGTTTAAACGAGGACCTTATGTTCCCTTTCAAGGTTAAGGAAGCAAGACTCTCAGCTGTCTGCTTTTCCATTTCTTCTCTTTCATCTCCTCCTGTTCTTTGACCTTTCATCAACATGTTTTCCACCAGAAATATGCTCTGAGTCTTGGTGGAGCTTAGCACTGCCTCCCTCTATTGTCTCCTCCCAGCATCTTAGGCTCTGGTTATGGACAGGGGCGTAAAGTGGCAGCCACTTGGGAAAAGGCACTTCTGAAATCAGGTGACTACCGCTCTGCAGGCTCAGAGAATATCAGAGATGAGAGGCGTCTTAGAGATTATTTAGGTTAACACTGTCTCTCATTTTAACTAAGGAAACAGCTTTAGAAAACAGTTAAGAAACTAAGATCAGAAAGCAACTTAGCAGCTGAGCTAAACTGGTATCCAGGCCTCTTCTCTCCCCCTTAATCTTTTTCCAGAAATGCTCTGTAATACATCTTTAAATAGTTATCTAAATTGAACAATTGTCTCTTGTCTTCTGTAGGCACCACATAAATAATTTTAATGAATAAATGAAACATTGAATGATTGATCAACTGGATGATGAATGAACATATTGATGAAAAAAGAAAATTAAAAATGGTTTCAGTATCACCTAGATATTCTATGGTTACTAGAAACCCAAATGTAGTCAATAAACTGGATTTTAGAAAAGAATTTTATTACCTGTAACATCAACGTTATTTCATAACATATATATGACACAAGCTCATAAGACATTTCCCATATACAATCCCATTTGGCCTTTCAAAATTTTAACAGATATTCATAAATTCATCAGATTTGTTTTAAAAACTGCCAGTGTGAGACATTAAGAAATCTGACATTCTATGCATCTAGCTACAAGCAGAATTAGAACACAAACCCAGACCTGTTGAATCCTTTTCTATTGACCATGAAGGAGAGAGAATCACATACAGAATCTCTTCCCAAAACATTTCTTAGGATTCACAAATAGTCTCACTCTGTGAATATTATTTAAGTCAAATATGTAGGAATGCTTCCTGTTTTACATGCGAATAAATTAAATTAGCTACAATATTCTTTTTAAGTGTCACAGTAGCTAGGTCTAAAATTTAAGAAGAAATGAACAAATATAGAGATGGAAAACAACAGTGCTTTTAAAGACTGGAATACATGATGATCATGGTGGGCTTTGCTATGATCAACCATCTGGCCTCACCACCAGCTCGTGCATATCTCCCACTATTTCAAATATAACCCTTAATTCTAGCCACACGAGGCTACTCAGACCATTAGTACATCACAGTAGATGCTGCCTGATCTTTACATCTTCAGTTTTTAATTTGATAATAGTAAATATTCTTTTTTTTTACTAAAAAGGTAATGTCTTTTACAACAAATATGTAAAATGTGTTTTATATATTTGTAAATAACATTCTGGGTTGTGTATAATAATTTTTGGCTTGTATATTATCTCAGTTTGGGGCTAAAATGACATCATCTGGAAAATATTCTTTCCTTTGTTTCTTTCTTTCTTTTTTTTTTTTTTTTTTTGAGATGGAGTCTCACTCTGTCACCCTGGCTGGAGTGCAGTGGCATAATCTCGGCCCACTGCAATCTCACCATGCTCAGCTAATTTTCTGTAGAAAATATATTTTTTTCGATGGCACCATGGCATTTATTCCATCACATGGTTATTCTATAATTAATTTAACTAATTCCTAATAGTTAGAGCTACAAGTTGTTTCCATTATGTCACTCTTATGAATAGCTGAGGATCTTTATATATGAATAATATATCTGTATTTGTAACTAGTTTTCATAGGATATATTTCTTTTTTATTTTTTCTTTGAGACAGGGTCTTACTCTGTCATCCAAGCTGAAGTGCAGTGGCACTATCACGGCTCACTGCAGCCTCAACCTCCTGGGCTCAAGCAATCCTCCCACCTCAGCCTCCAGACTAGGTGGGCCCACAGTTGCAGACCACCATGCCAGGCTAACGTTTCTGTAATTTTTGTAGAGATAAGGTCTTATTACGTTGCCCAGGGCGGTCTCAAACTCCTGAGCTCAGGCTATCCTCATGCCTCAATCTCCCAAAGCACTGGGATTACAGACTTGAACCACTATGCCCAGCACAAGATGTATTTCTAAAAGTGAAAATACTGAGCATGTTAAATCCCTGTTCCATTCATATCAGGCCAAACCAATAAATATGTGTGCATTGACCAGGCATTTTCTTTCAATAGGTTAGCTGAAGTACAGTGGTTATAGCAATACATATATATAGATATATAGATATAGATATAAATGTAATTTATTTTCAATCAAAAAGAGAAGAATCTTCGAAAATGACAATCATTTATCATAATCTATCACTTGAGAGAAAAATTGTAGCTACTGTTCCAGGTTTAACATATTTCTTGGAATAAACCAATATGACTCCCAGCACACAAAAATGCAGCAACTAGTTTAGCTGATGATTTTCTTTCTCTACCCCAATAAACAAACAAACAAACAAACAGAATTCATTTGCATTCACCTGGAAGAGTTAGCAGGACTTCATCACCTTGCTACAAGATTATGTCAATTCTTTGGCAAAGTGCCACTGTTTAGGTTGCAGGCATTTCATTTCAACCATGTCTCAATCATGTACAATAACGTATTTATCCACCATGTTAATAACAGCATATAGCTAGGACCTGCAGTCAGAAGCAACAAGTTCTATAGATGTTTTGGTAAGATGCATATTGCTAGAACATAAGAAATTGTCTTACAAAAATGAAAAAGGCTTGTCAACTCAATGCAATTCCAGTGGGTCCACTGTCTGAGTATGTTGCAATATCCCTACACAATGAAGGAAATTTTGCTCTTCTTTGCACTTCCTTCTTCTAAGAAAGAAACAGAATATTGGGTAGTCTCTTTGAAGTTCAGAAGCAACATACAACAAATTTGGGTTCCTTTGAGCAAATTACCTCAAAGACTTCCATCTTTAATTTAATCTATTAGTTATGTACTGCTGCATAACCAATTAGCCCCAAACTTAAGACCTTAGGACAATAAAAATTTATTTTCTTATTGTTTCTGTGAGTCAGAAATCCAGGAACCTCTTCCTTGGGTCCTTTTGTTTAGGGTCTCTCATAAGGGGGCAATCAAGGTGTTTGGTGGGGCTGCAAAGTTCAACTTGGGGATGATTTTCTTTTTTTTTTATTATACTTCAAGTTTTAGGGTACTTTGCACAATGTGCAGGTTAGTTACATATGTATACATGTGCCATGTATGATGGGTGTGCTGCACCCATCAACTCATCATTTAACATTAGGTATATCTCCTAATGCTATCCCTCCCCCCTCCCCCCACCCCACAACAGGCCCCTGTGTGTGATGTTCCCCTTCCTGTGTCCATGTATTCTCATTATTCAATTCCCACCTATGAGTGAGAACATGCGGTGCTGATTTTCTTAAAAGCTCATTCATGAGGCTGTTTGCAAGCCTCAGAAGTTTGTCTTTCAAGCTCACTGGCTATTGGCCACATATTGGCTACAGGTGCTTCTATATGTTGCTATTCACAACATGGTAACTTTCTTTACCCAGAACTTTTTTTGTACCCTAACTTTGGAAGTAATATTCCATCACTTGAGCTGCCTTTCTCTCTGGTTTTGTTTCTTTGTTTATTTGTTTGTTTGTTTGCTTTTCTTACTAGAAAGTGAGGTATTAGGTCCAGCCCACAACCAAGGGGAGGGGATTACTTAAGGGAAAGAGTGAATACTGGAAGTGAGAGATTATTAGAAGCCATTTTAGAGGCTTCCTATCACTTTGGATATCAGAGCAAAATAAAGATTTCTGGATAGTCCAACCTATGGAGCAGATTTTTGCCTCTCAACCCTTAGGACCTAGTTAATCTAATGAAGCTCAAAGTACCTTATAATCAGTTTAGTCAGGATTTTTTAAAAGGAGCCTGCTTTGCAGATTGCTGTGCATCAGGAATCAGCAAACATTTTTTGTAAAGAGTCAGAGTAAATATTTTAAGCTTTGCAGGCCACATACAGTCTGTCACATATTATTTATTTTTATTTTTGTTTTCTTTAGTTTGGTTTTATGGGTTTTTTTACAGCCCTTTAAATATAAAAATCATTCCTAGCTCATTGGCCATACAAAACAGGCCACCAGCCATATTTGGCCCATGGCTATAGTTTTCCAGTTCATACTCAACACAATAAGATGGCCCCATTGGAAGTGCCATGGCGGGATTACAGATTCATTCCTGGGTAGCTCTAAAGGATAGTGAGTACATTATAAATGCCCATTGAGCAGGATCTGGTGATGCTTTCTGTTTTCTCCTTTTCCTGAATGGACAACTTCAGATAAGAATCCACACTGATTCATGAGCAGTGGTGGTTTGCTCAGAGCAGTCAAAGACATGGAAGAACAAGATGTGAAGGGTTGGAAGAAAGGAATGTAGATGAATCTCTTGCCATTTCTCTAAAGAGTAAGAATAGATGTGTTTCTTGTGATACTCCCCATATAATGATGTGTTCTGTGAGTGTCAGTGAGTCTTCATCCTTACACACTTAGGTGATCATTCAATAGACTCATAAACAAATGGCCATGGCTAGGCCTGGGCTCAACAGCATGTGCATTGCCTCATCAGGCTTTCTGCCAATGGCCACTGCTGACCTTCAGATATTCCTGATGCAAATGCAAATGTTGAGCTCTGTATTGACTTCATAGGGCTGCTATAACAACTCACTACGAAATTGGTAGCTTCAAAAAACAGCAATTTATTTTCTCACAGCTCTGGAGGCCAGGTGTCTAAAAATCAGTTTCATTTGGCAGACATTGAGATGTTGGCAGTGTCACATCCCCTCCAAAGTCTCTAGGGGAAGATTCGTCCTTTGTCTTTTCTGCCTCTGGTGACTGCTGTCATTCTTTGGCTTGTGGCTGCATCACTCCAATCTCTGCCTCCATGGTCACATTGTCTTTTCCTCTCTGTCTGTGTCAAATCTCTCTATGCCTGTCTTATAATGACACTTGTGATTGCATTTAGGACCCACCAAAATAATCCAGGATAATCTCCTCAACTGAGCAGTCTTAAGTTAATCTCATCTGAAAAGATTATTTTTCTATGTAAGGAAACATTCACAAGCTCCAGATATCAGGACTTGATATTGTTGGAAGGCATTATTCAGCCTACAACAACCCTCAGTGTGTGCAACACTCAGAGAGGTCCAGGCAGCTAACTACTGTCAGGACAATTTTCCATCAATGGAATATATGTTAATTCCCATTTTAGATTCTCTTTCATTCTATGATTCTTCTTGCATCCTCATCCTTGACTCAAAGAGGTGACATCCTTGTTTTCTGAGTTAAAACTTATAAGAAAACATACAGCAAAATATTCATGACCTTGAATTTGGCCGTTATTTCTTAGATATGACACTAAAGGCACAGAAAACAAAAGAAAAATACAAATTGGATTTCATAAAAATTTTAAAATATTGTGCATCAAAAGACATTATCAGCAGAGTAAGAAGACAACACAGAGAATAGGAGAAAATATTTACAAATCAAATATCTGATAAGGGATAGATATCCAGAATATATAGATAATTCTTAAAACTCAACAAGAAAGCAACAAATAACCCGATTTGAAAATAGGCCAAGGAATTGAATAGATATTTCTCCAAAGTATAAATAAAAGTGGCCAATAAGTAAGTGAAAAGATGCCTAATATCATTAATTATTAGGGAAATGCAAGTCAAAACTACAATGATATACCACCTCACATCCATTAAGATAGCTATTATAAACACATACACACATGCACACACACAAAAAAAAAAACAAAAAAAAAACCATAAAATAACAAGTGTTGTGGGCACATGGAGAGATTGGGAACCATTGTGTACTGTTGATGGAAATGTAAAATGGTACAGCCACTGTATAATGAAAAACAGTATGGCAGTTTCTCAAAAAATTGAATATAAAATTACAGATGATTAAGCAATTTCCTTCTGGGTTTATATCCAAAAGAATTGAAAGCAGGGTCTCAAAGAGATATTTGTATACC
Source organism: Homo sapiens (assembly GCF_000001405.40). Classification (NCBI taxonomy): domain Eukaryota; kingdom Metazoa; phylum Chordata; class Mammalia; order Primates; family Hominidae; genus Homo; species Homo sapiens. The sequence continues at coordinate 81,062,457 of NC_000010.11, read as the reverse complement.
CATTTTTATAGCAGCATTATTCACAATAGCCCAAATGTGGAAGCAACCCAAAGGTTTATCAAAAAATGAATGGATAAGCAAAATGTAATAGACATACAATCAAATATTATTCAGCCTTAAAAAGGACAGAAATTCTGACGTATGCTACAGCCTAGAGGAAACTTGAGGATATTATGCTAAGTGAAATAATCCAGACACAAAAAGACAAATATTGTATAATTCTACTTACATGAGGTACTTAAAGTAGTCAAAATCATAGAGACAGAAAGTAGAATGGTGTTTTGGAGGGGCTGGAGTAAGGGAAATGGGAGTTACTAGTTAATGAGTGTAGACTTTCAGTTTTGCAAGATGAAAAGAGTTCTAGAGATGAAGAATGGTGATGGTTACGCTACAATATGAATGTACTTAAGACCACTGAACTGTACATTTAACAATGGTTAAGATGTTATGTGTATTTTTCCACAAGAAAGAAAATTAGAGAGAAAGAAGAACTGGTAGTGGGATGGATCTGGCCTGTGCTCCATAGTTTTCTGACTTCTTATCTAGAACAATAAATCAAATCCTGATACATAAGGTTCGTCAATATTTTGGTCTAAATACTCCCACCGAAGCTGATATCAAGCCACCAAAGTGACCTCACTGCACATGGAGTTGCCAAAAAATGTTCAGTAGCACCCCATTATAGTGTTACCACCATTCAGATACAGTAAATCACACCAAGAACACAGGTAACAGTAAAATGTAGTCAAGTACTTAGGAAGTGATGAGTTTTATGTATTTATTGATTTTGTAGTTAATATAACCTATTTCATTGTAAATTTATATGATTTAATTTTTAATAATGGCTGTGTACAACAACTGGTTCATGAAATTCCTGAAAATTTAACATGGGCTCTCCTGAGCCAGTATGACTGGCTCCAAGATAGCACTGGTTTCTTTCCCCCATAGGACATATGAAAGTTCTAAACATAAAAGGCGTCAGAAAATAGAAGAAACTTTTAGGTCTTCCACTCAACAACACCAATGAGAAGTCCTGGCCAAAACTTGTGGTTCTGTTTTCCTTATGGCAAGAGGAGTAGACACCTTACCCCAGCTTCTCAGACATCAGTTATCAGCAACCGCTCTCTCTAGGACATGTATCCAGCTTCATTAGAATTGTGCACAGGCCCTGGCCCTTTATGAAAACCACTCTTCTCAATCATCTCTATTTTCCCCTATCTAGACCTTCCTTCCCTCCCCAAGAAGGACCATGTCTGCCTCCGGCAGCATCACTGGAGAAACCTCTCCTCTTAGGCTAACTCTTGTAAATGAAAACCTGGGGGAACTCAGGTTTCGGGCACTTGGCCAATTTCTGCTTCTTCGTCCCTCAAACAGGAAGGATGTTAAAACCCCTGTACCACACTCTCCCCTCTCTCCTATACCCAAGCAGAGTGAAAAAAGGAAGGGAAAAGTAATACCTTTCATTCTTTTGTGATTTCTCCAGCAGTGAGGCTATGTAGGTATTACTCATTTAAGGGATGGCCTGGCTACCTTTCTCCTGTTGGAAGAGTGCACTCAATAAATGTTAACTATCATTTTTAATACATAGAAGGAACCAGCTATATAGGATTTTATTAAAAATCTCACACTAGACTTAAAAGAAAAAAATGGGTCAAAATAAAGGAAATATGGGCTCAAGCCATATATTTAATTTGTATTTATAATTTAATTATTTAATTATTATTTATTTTATTTAATATTTCTAAATGCCTAACAAAATTAGGTAAACTATGCCAAAGTGTGTATTAAAGACAATGGCATTAACCTATATAGAGTTTAAGAACATCAGAAAACCAGTAGGAAAGTACCAGATATTCAAATTGCTTGGCCTTTAAATTCAGAGCATGTGACAAAATCGGGTCTTTGGATTCACCAATAAACAGGCATTTTCATTTTTTCAAAATAAACAAAAAACACCTGTAAGGGTATCTGTACTTTTCTTAAGAGGGGATCCATAAATTGCATTATTCCCAAGGATTCCCTGAGCTTCAGAAAGTTAACAATTAGAGAAACATCCATTCATATGGAAGGAAGTTGGACTAGACAAACTCTGACATTATATCAAATGGTAATATCCTATACAGTCCATATTTGCTATTTTTTGACCAACAGAGCACCTGTTCTCCTTGTAACAGAGCCCTAGATTCCTTTTGATAATTATGAATTTCCCATCATTGTGTCTTTGGTGATTTGACAAGGTCCATACCCTCACGTGATGCAGAGAGATGTGTCTGGCGGTCACCTAGCATCTTTTGAATAACTTTAATCTTGGTGATAATTCCTGGGCTAGAGCACTGCCTCCTTGGGAGAGCCGCCAGAACTCACTGTCTCAGGCCTCCTTACTGCTGAGGCATAAACTTCCCATTTATGCATCATCATTTGATTGACCTTCATGAGAGTTTGATTTGATTGAGAACAATGTGATAAGGAAGTGGCACACAGAATCCTCTTTTGGACTAAAGGGGAAGTAGGGGTTCCTGGCTTTTAGAGACAGCAAGTGCTAGTTGTCTGACATCCACCATCTAGTGTAAGTGGTTCCATGATTTCTGCAAGTCCCAGCAGCATTGGCATCTTCCCTAGAACAGTGCTGGTGTAGTTCGTGCATAGCTCCTGGCTCTTAAGCTTTCAAACCTGAGGCTCTGGCCATCCTAGAGATTCTGTAAGATATTAACTTCCTCTATTAAATTTATTTTCTGTTTGAACTACCTAGAGGAGCTTTGTTTTGTAACCAAGAATACTGATTAATACGCTCCCTCATAGCCAAGGGAGACTCATGTAATTCAAGCCATGCCAATAAGACTCTTTAATTTCTGGGACTTTAAATCTTAAGCTTCATGTGGAATCAAGAGTGAAAAAAAGAAAGAACGTGAAGCTTATTTTTCCTTATGGCTGTATCCTTATCATCTGATTGAATATTTTCCACTACTTAAATTCTAGAACTGCCCTGGTCCCTATCCTTGCCTAACTCTGCTGCTCCGACCCATCTGTTCCGTGAGATACCTGATTTTCTTTGAATAAATTCCTTTTGTAGTTAACTTAGCCAGAGTTTGCTGTGTTATAAGAATCCCAACTGAAAAATGAAAAAAAAGAATGTACTTTCAAGCCTCTGCTATAAAAACAAAAGTGTGCATTCTATTTGATTTGATTTAACTAATGTTCTAGGCCAGGATAAATTTATCTATGATAAGAGGGGAAAAAAGTCAGAACGGTGGTTGCCTCAGAGTGAAAGGGAACAGTGAGTGACTGGAAATGGGCATGAGGGAATTTCCTGGGCTGTGACAGTTGCTGTAGGTTGAATTATGTTGCTCAAAAAGACATCTTGAAGTCTAAACCCTGGTACCTGTAAGTGTGACCTTATCTGGAAATAGGATCTTTGCAGATGTAATCAAGTTAAGATGAGGCATACTGGATTTGGGTGGATACTAGATCCACTAACTTGTGTCCTTTATAAGAAAAGAGACACACAGAGAAGAAGGCCATGTAAAGACAGAGGCAGAGATGGAGTGATGCAGCTGCAAACCAGGGAAACAGAAGCTAGGAAGAGGTAAGGAAGGATTCCTCCCTGGAGCCTTCAGAGGAAGCATGGCCCCACCCACATCTTGATTTCAGGTTTGTAGCCTCCAGAACCGTGAGATAATACATTTCTGTTGTAAGCCACCCAGGCTGTAGTAAAAAGGCAGCCCCAGGACACAATACAAGGGTAACGTCTTATATCTGGATAGAATTTTGGGTTTCACAGGAGTACAGATTTGCCCAGACTCAGAGAATATACACTTAAGATATTTCAAATTCTTTGTATATAAATTTTATCTTTCCAAAAATAATACTATGAACAAATATCAAAATCGAATGAATGATATGTTTGTTGAAGGTTTTAGGATTGAGCTATATTAACACCTGCTGCTTTCTTTGAAATGCATTTTAAAAATAAGAGAGACTGATGGGTGATTAGAAGAATGGATAGATAAACAGATACATAATAAAGCAAATATAGCAGAATATTAATTTGTAGGATCTAAGTGGTGAATGTGTGGGCATTTGCAGTAAAATTCTTTCAACTTTTCTATTTGAAAATGTTCATAGAAAATTGTCAGACAAAATAATAATAAACCCTGTTGCATATTACAGTCTGGATTTTTCTGCCTTTCTGTCTTTAAGAAATGCATAAAGTCTGCAATGGTGAAAAATAATACGTTATTGTTTGTTTTCATTCTTTCACAGAATATGCTTATTATGCTAAATAGACATGCAGCTTGCATCACCAAGATGAAGAAAAAAGATAAAATTTATGAAAGGATGAGAACAAAATACCCATACAATATGTCTGTTGTAGGCAGGAGGAAGTATAAGGATTTACAGCTCTGATATAAGCCAAAATCCGAGGTTAACTCTTGGTCAGAATCTGATCAAGGAAAGCATTGTGGTCAATAGTGTAGTAGTTTCTTGAGTTTTAAAAGCTTATTTTTAAGTTTCATAATTTTTATATTCTAACCATAAACAAAGTTGGAATCTAAATGTATAGAGAATTGTATGTGTAAGTTGGATTTAGAAATGTGCCAAAATATGCATATTGTGTTCTTTCAATCTCATATGACAAACGTAATCTACCAAGTTGGGTGGCATTAACTTTCTTAAATACACATACCTTGTTTAGTTAGAAAGCATAGAGAGGTTACATCTATTTCTGCTCCCCCTAGTGCTATTCTGTCTTAAATGACTTGGACTCCTTCCTCATTTGGCTATTAAGGAAGTTGATTGGGCAACTCATAAGTTTTAATCAAAAATCATAAACAGATAAATGAGATCTCTATAAACTAGGGCAACCCACTCACAATCTACAATATAGACATGCTGCATGTGCTTATGTAAAGAGCGCTTTCAAATCCGTGGTAAACAAAGTCCACGCTTGGCTAGCCCAGCTCAGAAATACAGAATCCAATACTGCAGCATAAAATAAAGCTGTATTTTTAACATAAACTGAACTGTTTTTTACAGTTCTAAATGCATAAATGTACCTTACGGCAACAATATCTTTCCAAGGAAGAATTTCCAGATTGAAGTTGAAGTTGTTCATACTTATATTTTCATTTCTAAAAATGCTCTGGTGACGGTCTATACAATTTGCCACATCCTTTGTGAATATTCACAATTAATTATTTTATTTACAAACACGTTTTTTCATGCTTCATGTTAAGAAGTCTTTATCCCTTCATCCTAGGCAAAGGAGGAAGAAGAGAATACAAATAACTGATCAGAGGAATAAAAAGTCTCTGCTTACTCTGAAGGGTCCAGTACAAAAAGAATGTAACAGGAAGCATATGACGTCTTACATTTGGTTCCACAAAAGGTGCAGGAATGAATTAAGAAGGATGTGCTCATGCTTATATTGTAGCATGTGAGAAAAAAGTTTTAAGGGCTTTATGAAATTTTAATTTTGATAAGAAATTAAATAGCAGCATTCTAGATGCAGTGAAGCTCCACAATGAAGATAGAACTGCCGTGAATCTTTATGAACTGAATAATGTTATATCAAAATAGATTTTTTTAAATATATGAAACAAATTGACAGAAACACATTAGATGTGAGAGGAATAATAAACTTCCCTTAGCTATTTTCACATTAAATAGGCACTAATAATAATAATGAACATGTGTGTCAAACACCTTATAAAATAAAAATAAAACATTGACAAAATGAATTATTACAGACCTAAAATGTCTCAATAAACACTAGCAAAGATATCCTAAAGAAAATTATGAAAAACATTATGAACGAGTAGGATTAGCTCAGAGGTCCAATTGCAAGGAACTCGTGCAAGGATGGTCCAATATTAAAATATGTATTAATATTATTTCTTAAAACAATCCATTAAAGAAAATAAATATTAGCATTATATTAATACATGTAGGAAGGCATTTGGTAAACAGCTTACATTCTTGATTTTTTTAAAAAATTTAAATAAAAAAGCTCAATTATAGTCAAAAACTTCCTTTTGGAATGCACATTATTGGCATTCCTTTTTATGATTTCACCACAGTTTTCTTAGTAATATTTTATTGTTTAAAATTAACTTTGTTTATAATTATGGAATTGTGGATTACATTATCAATTTTTTTTTTTTTTTTTTTAGAAGAGATAGAGTTTCTCCATGTTGACCAGGCTGGTCTCAAACTTCTGACCTCAAGTGATTCACCGGACTCTGCCTTCCAAAGTGCTAGGATTACAGGCCTGAGCCACAGCGCCTGGCCCATTACTGCTTTTTTACTTCCAAATGTTGAATACCACTCTTTGTTAGCTACCATTTCTTTTTGAGGATAATACCTTGAAACACTCCTTGTCAGCTACCAGCTAGACAGTCCCCAGATTACACTTTCAGCTACCTACTTTTATTGTGATTTTTGGTCGTTTGTAGTTATTATTTTCTGAATAACTCTGTTCACTACTATTTCTGGCACTTATTTTTAACCAGATATTAGAACTTTCTTAACTAAAGATCCTACAACCAGAAGTCAGAACACAGACTGCTATATATCATGGACTCAATTCAGATGAATAATTTGACATTTCCCAAAAAAATTTCAATTACGGTCATTTTCTTACCACCCAGTTTACTTAATACCTGAATTATTATTCCTTTTTATTTTTATTTTATGTTCTTTTATGTTCAAATAATTGATCTTCATATATAGATGCTGATAGGAAATTTATAGTTAATAAATATACAGTTGTATGATACACTATTTTTTTAGAATTTTTTCCATATTTTATTACTATGAATTTTTGTTAACTATTCTATATCCCTTTTTATGCCATCCTCTAGTAAGACCATGTCTGATTATTTTTACTTTAACTGTAAATGTTTAATTAGTGAAATGATGTACCTGTTTTGAAGTTGGTATTCCCAAAACTTACCTAAAACTTTGGATGTACTGTAAAGAAAGAGACTGTTATCAAAAGGTAACAATAGGCCAGTTGCATTAAATGAGTTTATACGTATTCATTACATTTCTGTTTGCTTTTTATACTCTTCTATTGTTGTCTAACATTCTGTTTATGTTACACATTATTACATTATTGCATGTTTTCCAAACTTGAAACAGATCTTTCTCGTTTCTCTTAGAATCTCACAAGATGTTCTTGTAGTTTACTAATGCCAGTTTAAAATATCATTAACCACGGTAACTCAACATTATCTGCATATAGGAAGATTTCTTTCTGTTATCTTTCTCCAAATAAAATTATTGTAACTTGTTAAATATGAATGGTTTTGAAATATCTAAAACATCCAGAGAAAGTCTATTTGCTAATTATCCAGAGCAAATAGTATGTTTAATTAAATACTAGTAGCCTGCAAGAAAGTCACATAATGAATAGTAAAATACAAAATCACTTGTACTGATGACAATTGTGGTGTCACTATTCATATGTGATTGTCAGATTAGTATCTCAGCCCTTCTTAAAATGAAGCAATTTTCAAAAAAGGAAGAGGGTTTTTGATGCATGCTTTTATTAGATTAAACATATATTGAATTTCCAATGATTCAATCTCTTGTTTTAATGTGCTTCAAATGTCAAATGAAATATTAGAGCAAGATATTTAAGTGATTTACTTATTTATGGTGTCATTTCTGTCATAATTTGATCTGTCAAACTCTTTATAGAATTAATCAGATAATAAACAGACCTGATTACAAAATATCAATTTTAGTAGTTAAATCTTATTTTAATTGTTCATTTGAAAACTATTAAAATACAATTAAATGGCATGAGAAAGATAATCAATTTTCTAATTTAGTTATAACTCACTTATAGTGTCCTTCCTTAAAAACAGTGGTATTTAAATGCAATCACATATTTACCCCTTTAACAAAAGTTGTAACAAGAAAAAGAATGAGACAGAAAATTCATAACTTCATCTAACAGCCAGTCTGATTTCAAATTCTATTGAGGAACATTTGTGTGACTGATATTATATTTTTTAATTGCACAGAAGCATTTCTTGAAATTTTTCTATTCAACAGTAAATGCTGATCAAAGTTTTCTCTAACCATAGCCATTAAAGTAATTATGTGAAGGCCTTAGTTTCCATTTCGTTTTACCCATTTCAGTTACAAAATAAATTGCTCTACAACTTCTTTAAATAGAAATCTTTGTAAAACACATTACAAGTTTCCTGCTTTCTTCATCTTCTAACAATTCAATACTTGACCAATTTGCCTCTGATACCTTTGCAACATTCCAAGAATTTGGACCATATATTCACCTCTCTTATGGAAATTTAGCTCCTCCTGATGAGGTTCCTATCTTTCCATCCCATTTTCCCACCTTTCCCCACACCTCCCCAACATTACCACCATATCCTACGATAACACATCTCTCATAGAGACTCAGTCTTTCTGCTTTTCTACCTTGGAAACAATAACAAAAGTAGTAGGCTCCCACTTGGTTAAACAAATCTTGCAGCAAGACAAAGATATTCTTAGGAAATGTTCTGGGTGTTTTGCTGGGTCACATCTTCCAGCTTTTAAATTCTCTTTTCAAAAAATTGTTTGGCTGAGGTTTCATTTACATACCATTAAATTTTCCCATTATAAGTGTACAATTCAATGACATTTAGTAAATTTATTTAGTAAAATGATGCAGCCGTAATCACAATACAGTTTTAGAACATCCACCACACCCATTAAGTTCTCTTGTGCCTGTCTGCAGTTAAGACCTTCTTTCCCCGCCATCCCACCGCAGCCTCAGGCCACTACCAATTTGCATTTTCTGGAGCTTTTTATATAAGTGGAATCATACTATAAGCATTCTTTGTATCTGGCTTTTCTACACTTAGCAAAATGGGATTTTTTTAATAATGATAAAAATTATGTAAAACTTTAATTCTTTTTTTCTTTGTCTTCTTTTTATTTTTTAATTTTTTATTTTTCCATAGGTTATTGGGACACAGATGGTGTTTGGTTACATGAGTAAATTTTTTAGTGGTGATTTGTGAGATTTTGGTGCACCCATCACCCAAGTAGTATACACTGCACCCTATTTGTAGTCTTTTATCCCTCGCCCCCTCCCACCCTTCCGCCCAAGCCCCCAAAGTCCATTGTATCATTCTTACACCTTTGCGTCCTCATAGCTTAGCTCCCACATATCGGTGAGAACATACAATGTTTGCTTTTCCATTCCTGAGTTACTTCACTTAGAATAATAGTCTCCAATCTCATCCAGGTTGCTGCAAATGCCATTAACCCATTCCTTTTTATGGCTGAATAGTATTCCATTATACACACACACACACACACACACACACACACACATCTCACAGTTTCTTTATCCACTGCTTGATTGATGGGCATTTGCGTTGGTTCCACAATTTTGCAATTGAAAATTGTGCTGCTATAAACATGCGTGTGCAAGCATCTTTTTCGTATAATGACTTCTTTTCTTCTGGGTAGACACCCAGTAGTGGGATTGCTGGATCAAATGGTAGTTCTACTTTTAGCTCTTTAAGGAATTTCCACACTGTTTTCCATAGTGGCTGTACTAGTTTACATTCCCACCAGCAGTGTAGAAGTGTTCCCTGATCACCGAATCCATGCCAACATCTACTGTTTTTTGATTTTTTGATTATGGCCATTCTTGCAGGAGTAAGGTGGTATCACATTGTGGTTTTGATTTGCCTTTCCCTGATCATTAGTGATGAGCATTTTTTCATATGTTTGTTGGCCATTTGTATATCTTCATTTGAGAATTGTCTATTCATGTCCTTAGCCCACTTTTTGCTGGGATTGTTTCTTTTTTCTTGCTGATTTGAGTTCGTTGTAGATTCTGGATATAGTTCTTTGTTAGATGTATAGATTGTGAAGATTTTCACCCATTCTGTGGGTTGTCTGTTTACTCTGCTGACTGTTCCTTTTGCCGTGCAATAGCTCTTTAGTTTAATTAAGTCCCCGCTATTTATCTTTGTTTTTATTGCATTTGCTTTTGGGTTATTGGTCATGAAATCCTCACCTCAGCCAAGGTCTAGAAGGGTTTTTCCAATGTTATCTTCTAGAATTTTTATAGTTTCAGGTCTTAGATTTAAGTCCTTAAACCATCTTGAGTTGATTTTTGTATAAGGTAAGAGATGAGGATCCAGTTTCATTGTGCTACATGTGGCTAGCCAATTATCCCAGCACCATTTGTTGAAAACGGTGTCCTTTCCCCAGCAAAATGTTTTTGAAGTGCATTGTTTATC